>NC_000004.12:88466835-88618350 GCF_000001405.40 Homo sapiens
CACCATTTGCCAAAGTATGACATCATGGTCTTGAGTGGCCTTTGGGTTCCAAAGTCTTTTCAGGTACATGTTGATTTCTTGGTTTCCAGATGATTTTCATCCTCTAAGAGATGTTTAGTTTCACTCTCACTGGGTAACATAGTTTTGGCAATTTACTGTATTGCTAAACACTCTCATCATTGTGGATAATTAAGAATTGACCATATGTGCTTTTATTTAATAGGTGGCACACACTTGCCTATGTTTCTGATTTGGGAAAGGTCTTTTCCTTTGGTTCTGGAAAAGATGGACAACTGGGAAATGGTGGAACACGTGACCAGCTGATGCCGCTTCCAGTGAAAGTATCATCAAGTGAAGAACTCAAACTTGGTAAATTCTATAGGAACATAGGGTTTGGCATAGTATCTTTTTAGAGAAAATGATTTTTCTAACTAGGTAATGTGGCAAAGAAAGCAACATATGACTATGAAGGGAGTTTCTCTAAATACTGGTTTCATTTTTTACTGGTAAACAATTCAAGAGTCAGTCTAATTTACTGAGGCAAAATAATTATTCTATATTACTCCTTCAGATTAGGATTAATGTGAATTTAAATGATAAAATAGACAATGGATTCAGAGGCATATGCAGCTCTCATTCCAGTTTGCAAGAGACTTACTAATTCTTGTAATTAGTTGTTTACTAATTCTTGTAATTGGCTGGTTGCCCTGGTTAAGTTGATCCACAGTCATATAAAACCCTCAGAATAATGAGCAATCAACGTATACCTGGCACTGAACTGTGCTCAGCACTTACTTGTGTTATCTCACCAATCCTTGTAACAGTTCCTGGGAGGTGTATTCTGTCACTCCTCTTTTACTGGAGGATAAAGAGACTTGGAGAGAAAAGGGTTAGCCACTTAATCATGGCCAGTAAGTGGTTTGTCTGGAGTTGAACCCGTGCCCTTTATGACCTCAGAGTCTGAGCTCTGAAACACTCCATTGTAGAAGCACCTTGGAGCATTTCTGTTACTTGTTTCTGAAAGCTTAGTGGTGACCTCAAGTAACAAAATCTACTCATTTCTTGTAGGAAAACGAACAGAGTTATTTCCTTAAGCAGCATGTATTATCTTTGATTCCTTATAACAGTTACATGGGCTTAAAGTACTTATATTCTTTATAGCCAGCAGTCATTGCTTAAATCTTGAAAACATGGTTTTTAGTAATGGGAGTTGAATTAAACTGATAACATTTAGCTAATCAAATATTTGCATTTTATATATAAATATTTGTATTATGTATATTAAACTGATGTCACATGTCCACCTTGTGAATTACCTATGTTTGCCAACTAGACTTTACTCCAAAGGATATGTATTTCAGCTGCTTAATTGGCAGAAAATGTACTAAGTTTTGTCTATTAAGAAGAAAAGATGACTACGTTTAAGAAGAATCTGAAGTTATTTAAATTGAACATGCATGTTTGTGCCAAATGACTTTCTAAAACTCTTACTCTTTGTGCATCCTTTCAGAAAGCCATACCTCAGAAAAGGAGTTAATAATGATTGCTGGAGGGAATCAAAGCATTTTGCTCTGGATAAAGAAAGAGGTAAAAATAGATCTCCAGGTGTTCTATAACCTGGTATTTTAAGCAAAACTAAGGGTTCTAGTATCCCAGTTTGGTGAATTCCAAAATCATCAGTTTACCAGGCTGACTTTTTGGGGGATAGCTGGACATTACTGATCCTTTATTGTCTAAACTACATCAGTATTTTCCCACAAAAATCAGCAGATTTTTCTCTGGTGAATGTCTAATCAGTGTGATTTCCATAGGCTATACTTACCTTTTGGGGGCTACTTGCCAATGATGTTTGGTCAGTATCCTTGCAAACAACAGAGTGACAGATTCTAAAAATGACTTTGCAGGCCAGTACTAAGAAAGACACCAAGGTTCATGGGCTTGCAAATAAAAAGTCCATAACTTCCCTGCCCTACTTCACCAAGTGAAATCGAGTTCCTCACACTTCTGCACACAGCTCTTTCAGGATCTTCCCTTCCCTTCAAGGCTGTCTGATGTTCAGTTTAATTTGATTGTATTTGTATAAAGTGCTGAGTGTTGAGTCCTCAAAGAAATTTACTTTCAGTCTAAGCCCCCTTGGACAAGAAAGTGGCAACCAGGCAAATGATTGATTACTTATTTGTTGAGTATCACTTTGTGATTGTCCCAGGGCTGTATTACACATATTTAAAAGTCAGTTTTACTCTCTAGAGTGTACCTAAAAGTTGGGTGCCTATCTCTGATGTGTCTAAATTATTGTATTTTACTTTCCTGTTTGTTTACAGAATTCATATGTTAATCTGAAGAGGACAATTCCTACTCTGAATGAAGGGACTGTAAAGAGATGGATTGCTGATGTGGAGACTAAACGGTGGCAGAGCACAAAAAGGTACACCCCACAGTCTGACTCTCTGCTTATATATCACTCTCAAGTATCATTTCCCAAACTGGTTCTGCACAGCAATATGAGATTTTGTAGTCAGGGTTTTCCAGAGAAACAAACTCATAGGATATGTGTGTATTTCTGTCTCTATCTTTATCTCTATCATGTCTGTCTGTCCATCTATGTATCTATGGAGGGGAGAGAGAGAGATTATTTTAAGGAATTGGCTTATGAGATTGTAGGGGCTGGCAAGTCCAAAATCTGTAGGGCAGGCCAGCAGGCTGGAGACTTGGGGAGGAGTTGATGTTGCAGCTCAAGTCTGAAGGCAATCTAAAAGCAGAATTTCCTCTTCTTTGGGTGACCTCAGCCTTTTCTCTTAAGGCCTTCAACTGGATGAGGCTCACTCACATTATGGAAGGTCCTTTCTTTTTATTCACTTGTTCAAGTGCTTTACTCAGTTTACCATTTTAAATGTTAATCTCATCTAAAAAAATACTTTCATAGAAACATCCAGAATAATATTTGACCAAATATCTTGGTACCATGGCCTAGCCAAGTTGACATATAAAACTAACCCATCACAACTAGCATGTAAGCGCCATGAGGACAGCTTTCTTTACTGTAGGGCTTCTCCAGGCCTCTGTTTATGTATATTGTGACTCTCTGGCCAGAAAATAGAGTCTATAGTGTTTCCCAGTCCCATTTGATCCTGGAACCATTAGTTTGTGTACCTGTTATTCTTAGCTGAACAATTTGTACCATTCTTCTCTAAACCATAGAACTCCTATAGGTTTACAGAACTCCTACCTATTCTTACAAACATCATCTTTTAGAAATATTTTTAGGTATGGCTTTCTAATTCTGGAAAATGATTGTACAAAGTAGTTGCACAAAATAGTTGCATCATAATTTGCAGAGCATAAATAATTAAGAACTGTACAACTACTTCTAAGATGAAACTGAGCATACTCCTTCCCCCATTTAATTTCTGGTAATTTATTTCTACTTCAGTGGAATAGAAATAAATAGGACTTGCATAGTTGGTGGGGTGGGAGTATTTTGTTTGTTCAAGAAAGTTCTGACCATAAATCAAGCCTTTCCTCTTTATTTGAGGCTTCTCTGAGTATGTATAAACTTTTTTATTTCCCATGTTTGCCACTGAAATTTTGAGATTTACCAAACAGAATGGACTTTTAGAAGCCAAGCCAAGGTAATATGCATACAGATAGGAGACAAATGGAGAGGTTGGAAGGATAGTTATAAGATGTGGTATTTATCATGTCTCATGCTGTAAAGAAAGAGGCTGTATGTATGTATACCATGTGATTTGGTTTAACCAGTGTCTTATTACTAATATAGGGAAATCCAAGAGATATTTTCATCTCCTGCTTGTCTAACTGGAAGTTTTTTAAGGAAAAGGTAATATATGTAATAAATTAATTGTATTAAATTGTATTAAGAGTACCGTGAAAGAGGATAAAAAAATGATTGGAGAGTAAAATAGCTGTGTGTTCATCCCTTTTTAAAAATTTTTTTTAACAAAAGTAAATATATGTTTGCTGTAGAAAATGTCAAAAATACACACAATAAAAAGAAAGTGAAAATCTTCCATAATCCATCACTTAAGAGTAATAGCTAGCACTTACGTATATGATTATATTTTTTCATGCAAATGTATTCTTTTAAAAAAAATGAGATCATACTGGTTCTTTGTTTTTTTCTTTTTTTTTTTGAGACAGGGTCTTGCCCTGTCGTTGCCCATGCTTTAATGCAGTTCTGTGATCTTGGCTCATTGTAACCTCTGCCTCCTAGGCTCAAGCAGTCCTCCCACCTCAGCCTGAGTAGCTGGGGCTTCAGACACATGGCACTACACCCAGCTAATTTTTGTATTTTTTTGTAGAGCCAGAGTTTTACCATGTTGGCCAGGCTGGTCTCGAACTCCTGAGCTCAGGCAATCTACCAGCCTTGGCCTCCCCAAGTGCTGGGATTTCAGGTGTAAGCCACCATGCCCAGCTGGATCATATTGTTTATACATTGTTTTCTACCTAATATTTGCCCATTTTACATTTTATTCTATCTTTTTTGGTAATTTTTTTTTTTTTGAGACAAGGTCTCACTCCATCACCCAGGCTGGAGTTACAGCATCTTGGTTCTTGGGCTCAAGCATCATCAAACTCTTGGGCTCAAGCAAAACTCCCACCTTAGCCTTCCACGTAGCTGGGACTACAGGCACGTGCCACCACCTCCTGCTAATTTTTTAGCTTTTGTAAAGACAGCAGCTTTGCTATGTTGCCCAGGCTGGTCTTGAACTCCTGGCCTCAAGCAGTCCTCCCACCTCAGCCTCCTGGTGTTGGGATTATAGGTGTGAGCTACCGCACCCAGCCGGTAACATAATTTAATGGCTGCATGACCTTCCATTAGAAGGTCTTCCATGAGAAGATACTTAAACATTTCATTAATAACTTTATATTGAAGTACTAAGAAATTATTGGTCAGAAGCCCTCTCTTTTGGTTCCCACTTTTCAGTCCATTTAACGGGAAGAAATGGATGTATTTTTTAGAAATGGGAAAAATGTTTATCTTTTTTCTGTCTTCCTTCCTTCCTTCCTGTGGTCAGTCCTTTCTTCCTTCCTTCCTTCCTTCGAAAAACCTTTATCTTTTTTCTATGGCCCGCCCTTCTTCCCTCCCTTCTTTCCTCCCTCCCTCCCTCCCTCCTTCCCTTCCTTCTTTCTTTTCTTTTTTTCTTTCTTTCTTTTTCTGAGGCAGGATCTTGCTCTGTCACCCAGGCTGGAGTACAGTGGCATGTTCACAACTCACTGCAGCCTTGATCTCTCAAGCTCAAGCGATTATCCTGTCTCAGCCTCCCTCTGTGGCTATTTTTTTTAAACTGGGAAATATTAATTTTTTTAATCTATTACAGATAAGACAGCATCTGAGTTAAAGTCTTATGGTATATACAGTTAAAGCAGCCTTGATATTTTTTGGTATTTTAGAAAAAATCATGTTTACTACATTGCATTTGGATTTAGACAATTTATTATAGTTACACACTTGAGAAAAAAGGTAATTTTGTTGAAATGGGGCAAGCTCTAGAAGAAACTTTGCATCTAGGGAGATAATCTAACAAAATACTTAATTTATCTTTCTTCTACAGAAGAACTACAGAAATGATGCCTGTTTATTTGGACTTAAATAAAGCAAGAAACATCTTCAAGGAGTTAACCCAAAAGGACTGGATTACTAACATGGTATCTTCAGATTGTTATGTGGAGAAAGAAAATACACCAGAATATTTCTTAAAAGAACTCAAAATTTCAGAAGAAATGTTTTGTGTTAAGGGATTCTCCGAGACCTTGTAGCATATTCAGATTAAGTTAAACTCAGATAACATTTAGGAGTTTGCCCTTTTAGGGTGAAATAGTTGGCATAGTAGTCACACAGGTTACAGATATTCTAAATAGTGTGTCTGTACACAAACACACATACACATATATGCATACACATTCGTAGAGGGAAGTTTTTCAACTCAGGGCTTTAGGAAGATGATTAAGGATTTGTTGAGATTGGTACACTAGAATAAGAACATTTTATATGCAAAGCATAAATGTAGAAATGAGAACATTTTTTCTGATATGAATATCCCTCTCACCAGGGACTGCCTGGATTCTTTTTTTTTTTTTTTTTCCATTCTACTTTTCTGTAGATTCTAGAATGTTCTTGTTCCTTATGGGATGATTGTTTCCTGTTTCAGCACTGTTACTGCTATCTTTAGGTTTTCTTTTTGCAGGTGCTCCAAACATGCTTCCTTTATTTTTATTTTTATTTTTTTGGAAACGGAGTCTCGCTTTGTTGCCCAGGCTGGAGTCCAGTGGTGCGATCTCGGCTTACTGCATGCTTCGTTTATTAATTTAGTTTTTCTTAATGTAGTTTTTATTATTTCCCTATTTTATTTTACTGGTTGATATGGGGATACTACTTTCTGTTCTACTCTCCATTTTTTTCTCTCTGGGTCGCACTGTAGTTCCTTCTTTCTTTCTCTCTCCTTCCCTCCTCCCCTCCTTCCTCCCTCTAGCCTCACCCCATTTTTTAATCTCTCTCTGTGTTCATATCCCTCTTCTCTTTCCCTCTCAATCTTTGATCTCTCACCCTTCCTCCTTTCAGCTCCCGCACTTGCTCTGTTTGCCACAACTAGCATTTTCTATTTCAGCTGCAAGTTTTCTCATTCGCTCCTTTCTTTCAAGGAAAGATGGAAAGTTCAGTTCTCTTAACTTTGGCAGAACCACAGCCCCACTGGGGGTCCGAGGTGAAATGGTTCCCTAATTATGTACCTTTATTGGGACCCTACAACACTTAGTGCTGCCTGTATCAACAACCCAGAAACTACTCAGTGGACTATTTCATCAACATTTGTTAGAGCTCATTTTCTTTTGTTTTCTAAAATCCTCCTGTGGGGGCCAGTTTAACTTTCTTTCTGTAAGATTCTGAGTCATTGCTACTAAATACAACCATGGAAAGATTACCAAAAATAGAAGCCCTTTTGTGCGTCTGTGAAGGGAAGGGATTGGATCAGTTCATCATTAAGGGCTCCTTCTGTTTACTAATTATACCTTGATTGTGCCACAAAAAGAACATATGGTATGTAAATGAAATAATCATAGGGCATCCTTGACCTCCATTGTTTCAGAATAAGATGATTGGATTAGAAGACCTGTAATGTTTCTTTCTATCTTGAGGTTCTGCGATACGGACTCTCAGACCTTTGGCATGTGTTCATTTATTCAGCAAACATTTGAATACTTGCTGTGTGCTGGGCACTGTAATGATGACTCGATGAAGAATAAAAGAGACATACTCCCTGTGCTTTAGAAGCTCATGGTGTAGTAAGGGAGACAGATACATACATGCATACATCAGTGCAAAGACCTGGTGTGTTTTACACTTCACTGTCTTCGCTAGTGCCTGGCTTAGAATGTAGCCTGTGTGCAATATTTTTGGATGAATTGAGTCATTATTAGGGCAGTGAATGGTTAGCTCTTTTTACTCAAAACAAGTTGCCCAGAGGAATTAAGATCTTACCAGGTGCTCACGTGGAAGGATATTCGAGGCAGCTAGAAAAGCGTATGCCAAAGCACAGTGTGTCAGACAATAGGACTGGCTCGAGGGTATCACAGTAATTCTAAGGGTTTGGAATAGGTGAGGAGGCTTGAGGTTGTGTCTGATGATGAGCAAGGAGGTAGAATGCGTGTGTACTAATAAGATGTTGAAATAGAGTTGTCAGGTATACGTAACTCCAAAGACCGAATCTCATCGTAGGAGTCCAATATAATGTTTTAATATAAAAATAGGTAATTATAACAATTCGTACATTTACAGATATCACTTAGCCACTATCTCATAATATAATGATTAAGAATTTGGGCTTTGGAGTCAGAAAGATCCAGAGAAATTCCCACTTAGCTGTGTGACCTTGAGCAAGTTACTTAATTTCTCTGAATCACAGATTTCTCATCAGTAAAATGGGATTAATAACATCTGTGTTAGGGAGAAACTATAATAAGGGTTAAATGACCTAATTAATATATGTACATCACTTAGCACAATAATTGACAAGTAATAAGTATTCCATAAATACTAGCTTATCTTCATAGTGGGATTTTAAACAAATGATTACTGTGATCTAAGCACACATAACAAAAATTCAGAATTCCATTCCATTTTTTCCTAAACAGTTGCATTCTGAATTGGGGAAACTATAAGGAAATTGGAGGGGCTAGAAACTAGAGTCTGTGGTAGAGACAGTTGCTCTTATGGAAGATAATGAGAATTATGTTAAATTTTGTTCTTGAAATTTTCGGATTTTGTCTTTTTTTTTTTTTTTTGCTTTGTTTTGTTTTTCTGCTTTTTGGAGTTCTGATGCATTTTTACTCTTGAAAAAAGAAACCCACGGTGTGATAGTGTAAACCAGAGGGTAGAATATGGTACTTATGACTGAGAAGGCTGTTTATTAGTTCTGAATCTATTGTTCATTGAGTGTAATTCTTGCACATGTTTTTTTCTTTTTCTTTCTTTCTTTTTTTTTTTTTTTTTTGAGATGGAGTCTTGCTCTGTGCCTGGAGTGCAGTGACACAATCTCGGCTCACTGCAACCTCTGCCTCCCAGGTTCAAGCGATTCTCCTGCCTCAGCCTCCCAAGGAGCTGGGACTACAGGCACGCACCGTCACGCCCAGCTAATTTTCATATTTTAAGTAGAGACAGGGTTTCACCATGTTGGTCAAGATGGTCACGATCTCCTGACCTTGTGATCTGCCTGCCTCGGCCTCCCAAAGTACTGGTTAGGTGTGCTTGATCTCCTTCATGCACCCTGATAATTGAATGGAGAGAATACTAATTGTATATCCCAAATACCTCCAATATTTTGGAGGCTAGGTGAGAAGGGATGTAAACAGGGGTTTTAGAAAACTCAATGATTATTCTCATTTAGTAGTAGAATGACATTCCAGCCTCTACACCTTGTTTTATTACCATCAGTTGCACCCTGCTTCTACTGAGTTTTGAATCCCTTTTCCCTGTTCCTTTCTGACCACAGATAACCACCTGCCTCAAAGATAATCTGCTCAAAAGACTTCCATTTCATTCTCCACCCCAAGAAGCTTTAGAAATTTTCTTCCTTCTCCCAGAATGTCCTATGATGCATATTTCCAACAACTGGGAGAGCCTTGTGGTTCCATTTGCAAAGGTTGTTTGTAAAATGAGTGACCAGTCTTCACTGGTTCTGGGTAAGTTTGATCATTTGAAGATACTTTACCTGTCTTCTCAGTGGAAAGACATGTCTAGTAAAGTTATGGCAAAACTAAGATACTTAGAAATGTATTCATTTTTTTTTAGTTCGTATTGTTAGCATACTCTAAAGGTACTATAACAATTACCATGGTCATCTAAAATAGATTATTCTAATACTTTTTTAGATTCCTTGGATACACACATGGCTTTGTCATGATTTCCTTAGTTTCCAACTTTTCACTATGAAAAATTTCACAGAGAAGTTGAAAGAATAGTATGGTATACCATATGCAATAAATGGTACACCTTGCTGGAGTGCAGTGGTACAGTCATAGCTCACTGTAATCTTAAACCCCTGGGCTCAAGTGATGAGGATGCTAAGTTCTAAACTTGTAATAGTAATTGTATTTATTCACTGAAAAGTTTATTACAATTGTGCTTTTGTAATTATGGTATTAGAGTCAGCAATAATAAGTATGTTGTCATTTGTGCTTTCTGTTTATGTACAGATTACATTTTATTTTTACTGAACTATTTGAAAATAAGTTGAAGACATGAGATTTCACTCATAATATTTCACCATTCATCTAAGAACATGGAATCTGGCCGGGCACGGTGGCTCATGCCTGTAATCTCAGCACTTTGGGAGGCTGAGGCAGGCAGATCACCTGAGGTCAGGAGTTCAAGACTAGCCTGGCCAACATGACAAAACCCTGACTCTACTAAAAATACAAAAATTAACTGGACTTGGTGGTGCATGCCTGTAATCCCAGCTACTCGGGAGGCTGAGGCAGGAGAATCGCTTGACCTGAGAGGCAGAGGTTGCATTGAGCCAAGATCACGCCATTGCACTCCAGCCTGGGCGACAGAGTGAGACTCCGTCCCAAAAAAAAAAGAACATGGAATCCTGTATTACCCTGGCATCATTATCATATCTAAGAAAATTAATCATAATTTTATAATATTATCCAATATCTAGGTCATTCAAATTTCTCTTCTTTTCCCAAAAAAAGTAAAAAGTATTTATAGCTTTTTTTTTTTTTTTTAAGAATCTCATTTGAGGCCAGGAGTTTGAGGCCAGCCTGGCCAACATGGTGAAACTTCATCTCTACTAAAAATATAATCAGTCAATAGATAGATAGATAGATAGTGAAACCCCATCTCTACTAAAAATACAATCAATCAAAAGAAAGGAAGGAAGGGAGGGGAGGGGAGAGGAGGAAGGGGGAGGGGAGGGAAGGGGAAGGGAAGGGGAAGGGGGAGGGGAGGGGGAGGGGAGGGAAGGGGAAGGGAGGGGGAGGGGGGAGAGAAAGAGAAGGGGAGGGGAAGGGAAAGGGAAGGTGAAGGGAAGGGAACTGAAAGGAAAGGGGAGGGGAAGGGGAAGGTGAAGGGAAGGGAAAGGGACGGGGAGGGGAAGGTGAAGGGAAGGGAACGGAAAGGAAGGGGGAGGGGAAGGAGAAGGTGAAGGGAAGGGAACGGAAAGGAAGGGGGAGGGGGAGGGGAAGGGGAAGTGGGGGAGGGGAAGGGGAAGGGAGGGGAGGGGATGGGAAGGGAAGGAGGAGGGAGGGAGGGAGGGAAGGAAGGAATGAAGGAGGAAGGAAGGATGAATTCTGGTCAGTTGTCTTGTAGACTGTCCCACATCCAGATAGTCTGACCGTTTCCTATCCCTGTATTTCCAGTACACCGCAAGTAAGTTCTAGGGGCATGAATAGAGTTTAATGGGATTTTTGACATACATAGCATATTCAGCTCAAGGAAATCCATTCTTTATGTTTTATTAAATCTGGATAACATGATAAGTGATGAAAAGCTACTTTAAAATGGTTTTTGTTTTTTAAAATGCTGAAATATGTTTTCTGTAAGAGTTAAACACCTCAGACTGGAAGCACAAAAAGAAAGTTGTGCATTCACGAACGATTTTTAATTTAATTTTTAACACATTATACTATTTCATCTGCACAAAGAATGTGATTAATTTTGCTCATATTTTTTCACAAATTAATTACATCAAGTTTGTAGTTGTATTAACTGTAAAGGAACTTTTCCAGGATGTTAAATTATTAGTAGTATTTTTTAATAGAGACAGGACCTCACTGTCACCTAGCTGGAGTACAGTGGTACAATTGTAGCTCACTGTAATCTTTGAACTCCTGGGCTTAAGCAACCAGAAAGTTAAATTCTAAACTTGTAATAGTAATTGTATTTATTCAGTGAAAAATTTATTACAAGTGTGCTTTTGTAATTATAATATATACTAAAATATTTTGTTATGTGTATCAAAAAATTTTGGCTACTTTTTACCTTCAACAATCTAAGTAAAATTACGTGATAATTATATTTACCTTCCTTGTGAAGGTCAAATATGCAGAGATAGATAATAAAATAGTGGTTACTAGTGGATGGGGGTGGAAAGGAAATGTGGAGATGTAGGTCAAAGGACACAAAGAAGCAGATGTGTAGGATCAACAAGTTTAGAGATCTACTAGATAAGACAACAGGAGGACTGTAGTTAATAACATATCGTATTAGGGATTTTATTGTTGTTAAATAAGTAGATGTTAGCTGTCTTTGCTTTAAAAAAATATTTTTTTTTTTGAGATGGGGTCTTACTCTGTCACCCAGGTTGGAGTGCTCTGGCACAATCTCAGCTCACTGCAGCCTCCACCTCCCAGTCTCAAGCGGTTCTCCCACCTCAGCCTCCCGAGTAGCTGGGCCACAGACATGTGCCACCACGCCCTGCTAATTTTTTGTAGTTCTGGTAGAGACCGAGTTTCTCTATGTTGCCCAGGCTGGCCTGGAACTGCTGAGCTCAGACAATCCACCTGCCTCAGCCTCCCAAAGTGCTGGGATTGTAGGTGTGAGCCACCATGCCTGGCCTACCAAAAAAATGTTAATTTGCTTCACTATAGTAACAATTTTACTATTTATATGTATCCCATTACATTTTGTAGACCTCAAATATACCCAATAAGCTGGTGAGGTGGCTCATGCCTACAATCCCAGCACTTTGGGAGGCAAAGGTGGGCGGATCACCTGAGGTCAGGAGTTCAAGACCAGCCTGGCCAACATGGTGAAACCTTGTCTCTATAAAAATACAAAAATTAGCCGGGCATGGTGGTAGGCGCCTGTAATTCCAGCCACTCAGGAAGGTGAGGCAGGAGAATTGCTTGAACCTGGGAGGCAGAGGATGTAGTGAGCTGAGATCGTGCCACTGCACTCCAGGCTGGGCAACAGGGTGAGACTCTGTCTCAAAAAAAAAAAAAAAAAAGCACAATAAAACTCATTTTTTAAAAAATTTGCTTTCCTTGTGTTCCTCAGAAGAGTATTGGGCAACTCTGCAAGAATCCACTTTCAGCAAACTGGTCCAGATGTTTAAAACAGCCGTCATATGCCAGTTGGATTACTGGGATGAAAGTGCTGAGGAGAATGGTAATGTTCAAGCTCTCCTAGAAATGTTGAAGAAGCTGCACAGGGTAAGAGTTCCTTTAGAAACCTCTGTGTTTTTATCTAGCTGTAAAAATTCCCTTCCTTTCAGCTGGCTTGAATCTTTAAGTAGACTCGTGTGAGACATACGAAGTTTATATTGCTATTTTTTTAATTTTTTTTTAAAATTACATCATACATATAAAGGAATATATATATAATACCTATTTAGAATTCAAGGAAAAATAATAAAATAAACATTAGTGTCCTTACCACCCATGTTAAAAAAATAAAACATTTCCAGTACTTTAGAAATACCTGTGTGCTGGGCCGGGCGCGTTGGCTCACGCCTGTCATCCTAGCACTTTAGGAGGCCAAGGCGGGCGGATCACGAGGTCAGGAGATCGAGACAATCATGACTAACATGGTGAAACCCCGTCTCTATTAAAAATACAGAAAATTAGCTGGGCGTGGTGGCGGGCGCCTGTAGTCCCAGCTACTCGGGAGGCTGAGGCAGGAGAATGGCGTGAACCCGGGAGGCGGAGCTTGCAGTGAGCAGAGATCGCGCCATTGCACTCCAGCCTGGGCGACAGAGCGAGACTCCGTCTCAAAAAAAAAAAAAAAAAAAGAAATAACCTGTGTGCTTTAGAAATACCGTGTACCCCTCATGGGTTGCAACCCCTCCATCTCCCAGAGGTAGTCATGATCTTGGATTTCGGGATAATCATTCCCTTGCTCTTACTATTTTAGAACTATATGTATGTATTTCTAGACACTATGATGTTTAATTTTGCTATTTTCAAAATTTATGTGAATGGAATACTGCTTCTTACACTCAATGTTTTATAGATTCATCCAGATTAATGCTTATGGCTGTATTTCATTCATTTTCACTCTGCAGTATAGTTCATTGTATGAATATACCATACTTAGCTTATCCATTCCAATATTGACAGATATATATGCTGTTTGCAATTCTTGTGTGTGTTTTTTTTTTTTGTCTTGTTGGGAGTTCCTCTATGAGAAAACATGCTGCTATAAACATTTTTGTTCATATCTCTTGGTTTTCTTGTATCAAGGATTGGTTCTGGGTTTCATACCTAATTCTAGAATTGATAAGCTACGGATATGTGTGTGTTGTTCTTTACTGGTAGTGACAAACTTCTAAAGCAGTTGGACCAATTTAAATTCTCTCCAGATGATGAGAATTCCCATTGCTCCATGTCTGACTTTAACATTTTGAAAATATTTTTGATAGGAAATGATACCAAATTATGGTTTTAATTGTATTTCCCTGGTTCAAATGCACTAGAGCATATTTTCATGTTTGTAATTGCAATATTTGTTTCCCCTTCTGTGAAATGCCTGTCCTTGACTTTTGTTCATTTAAATGATGTTTGACTTTTTCTTACTGATTATAGAATTCTTTTATTTTGGACACTACTCTTTTGTCAATGATATGTGTTGCAAATACTGTATCCTAGTCTTTTGCTTTATGGTATTTTTTGACAAACACATTCTTAATTTTATTGTAGATAAATTTGTCAATCCATTTCTTTTTACTCCTTGTGTCTTGTTTTAAACTTCTTTTCTCCCATAAAGGGTTTTGATTCGAGACAGGTTCTCCCTCTGTCATCCAGGCTGGAGTGCAGTGGCGCAGTCTCGGCTCACTGCAACCTCTGCCTCCCAGGCTCCTGTGATCCTCCCACTTCAGCCTCCAAAGTAGCTTGGACTACATGTGCAAGCCACCAAACCTTGCTAATTTTTATATTTTTTGTAGAGATGGGGTTTCGCCATGTAGCCCAGGCTGGTCTCGAACTCCTGAGCTCAAATGATTGACCCACCTCAGTCTCCCAAAGTCCTGGTATTACAGGTATGAGCCACTGTGCCAGGCCAATATTTGACTTTTTCTTAGTGCTTACAAGAATTCTTTCTATTTTGGATACTACTCCTTTGTCAATGATATGTGTTGCAAATATTTTATCCCAGTTATAGCTTGTCTTTTGCTTTTATGGTGTTTTTTGACAAACTCACATTCTTAATTTTAATGTAGATAAATTTGTCTGTCCGTTTCTTTATATAATTTTACTCCTTGTGTCTTGTTTTAAACTTTTTTTCTCCCATAAAGGTTTTAAATTATTACCCTAAATCAGGGGTCGGCAGCTTTTTTCTGGAAAGGACCAGATAGTAAATATTTTAGGCTTTATGAGGCATGTGGTTTCTGTCACAACTGCAGCTATTCAGTTGTTCAGGAGTAGCATGAAAGCAGCCACAGGCAATACAAAAATGAATGGTCATGGCTATGTTCCAATAAGACTATAAAAATAACAGAGGGCTAGATTAGGTCTGCAAAACTGCCCTAGATAGTATTCTAAGAGGACAATAGCCAAGGCCAGAGGAAGAGTACAAATGGAGGCCTAAAAAGGTTAAAAACCTATCTAACAAACTGTTAAAATAAAATATACTGTCCTCCTCTTTTGACAAATAAACCTTCATAATGACAGGGAGGGCCAGGTTTGAATTTAGAAATCTCAGTCTTCTTAAAATTCTACATTGAAAAATGGTGGCTTGCTGGGTGTGGTGGCTCATTCCTGTAATCCCAGCACTTTGCTCGGAGGCTGAGGCGGGCAGATCACAAGGTTAGGAGTTCAAGACCAGCCTGACCAACATAGTGAAACCTCGTCTCTACTAAAAATACAAAAGTTAGCTGGGTGTGGTGGCGTATGCCTGTAATCCCAGCTGCTTGGGAGGCTGAGGCAGGAGAGTCGCTTGAATCCAGGAGGCAGAGGTTGTAGTGAGCCAAGATTGCGTCACTGCACTCCAGCCTGGGTGACAGAGCAAGACTCCATCTCAAAAAAAAAAAAAAAGGGAAAAGAAAAGAAAAGAGAAGTAGTAGCTTAAATGCAGCCCTCTGCTCTTCTTTTCCTCCCTTGATTTTGTCCCCACACCAGAAGGGGTGTCACATGCCCGTATGTGGACACCTCAGCCCATATGTCTGAATTCCATCCCATCTCCCACCACAGACCCTCCGTAGCCAACCCTGAGACTGGAGGATCTCAGTTGTGACATAGTTCACTCTCTAGAGACCAAGCACGGGGAGAGGCCTGTGCCAGAAGCAGGCTTGGAACCATTTGAACATGGAATCCCAGGTCCTTGGTATATGCAGCCCAATCTAGAAGGGGATGTGTGGGCTGAAAATAGACAGGTCCCCCTGGCCCTGCAGACCCCTTATTCTGGGGGAAGAGGCTTGGCTGGAGGAGAGCCACTGCAAGAACCATGGTCCTAGGGCTGTATTCCCAAGTACCTGGGATTACAGGCGTGCACCACCATGCCTGGCTAATTTTTGTATTTTTTGTAGAGACGAGGTTTCACCATGTTGGCCAGGCTGGTCTTGAACTCCTGGCCTAAAGTGATCTGCCTGGCTCTGCCTCCCAAAGTGCTGGGATTACAGGTGTGAGCCACTGCACCTGGCCTGAATAGTGATTCTTATATTCAGCAAATTTGCCAAATTCTCATGTTATATCTAGTATTTACTTATAGATTCTTTTGAATTATTTATGTTTTCTTTTTCCAGTCCATATACGTTTTATTATTTTCCTTTGTCTTGCTCTAGGTAGGGCTTCTAATATGATGTTAAATAGAAGTGGGGGAACAGTGGATACTTATTTGTGATTTTAAAGGAAATTTTTTTTCATGGACTATTCTTAGTTTCCAAAGGAAATGCTTTTAGTATCATTTACTTATAGGGGTTTGCTGTTGTTGTTGTTGTTTTGAGTTGGAGTCTCACTCTGCCCAGGCTGGAGTGCAGTGGTGCAGTCATGGCTCACTGCAGCCTTGAACTCCTGGGCTCAAGTGATTCTCCTACCTCAGCCTCCTGAGTAGCTGGGACTATAGGCATACACCACCATGCCCAGCTAATTGTTTCATTTTTGGAGAGACAGGGCCTAACTATGTTGCTCAGGCTGGTCTTGAGCTCCTGGCCTCAAGTGATTCTCCACCTGGGCCTTGGTCTCCCGAAGTGCAAGGATTACCCGGGTAAGCCACCACACCGGCTCTATAGGCTTTTTTTTTTTTTTTTTTTTTTTTCCTGAGACAGAGTCTCATCCTGTTGCTCAGGCTGGAGTGCAGTGGCACGATCTTGGCTTACTGCAGCCTCTGCCTCCTGGGTTCAAGCTATCGTCGTGCCTCAGCTTCCTGAGTAGCCAGGAATATAGGCACATGCCACCCCACTTGGCTAATTTTTGAGTTTTTTGTAGAGATGGGGTTTCACCACATTGCCCAGGCTGGTCTCCCAACTCCTGACCTCAAGTGATTTTCCCACCTTGGCCTCCCAAAGTGCTGGGATTACAGGCATGAGCCATTGCGCCTGGCCTTCTATTAGGTTTTTGAAAATAACCTTTGTAGGTTAAGGATATTTCCCTCCTTTTAGAAATTGTTCCACATTTTAAATCTAAATGAATATTGACTCTCTTTTTTGAAATTCCAGTTATTGACATGTTAGACTTTTTCAGTCTATTTGGCATGTCCCTTAAGCTTTCTGTCATATTTTCCGTCTCATTGTCTCTCTGTACCCCATTCTGGATGGTATTTCTTCAGCCCTATCTTCCAGTTCATGAATTCTCTTTTCAGATATTTTGGTTGCTATTAATACTACCTTTTAAGTTTTTATTTCAAGTAGTAATGTTTTTCATTTCTAGATACTCGAATTTGTTCTTTAAATTTAGTTTCTTGCTCATTATTTATAATTTCTTCATTCTTTTCACATTTTCCTTTTATTTATCTGAATATATATGCCTTATAACTCAGGTATCTGAAGTCTTTGCAGGTCAGTTTCTGCTAATCTTCCTCCTGATGTCTTTATGCTCATGTATGTTGTGATTTGTGTATGTGTGAGAGCTGTCTGTTTTCCTTGGAACTTTATCTTTTGGAATTACT
Source organism: Homo sapiens (assembly GCF_000001405.40). Taxonomy (NCBI): domain Eukaryota; kingdom Metazoa; phylum Chordata; class Mammalia; order Primates; family Hominidae; genus Homo; species Homo sapiens. Next base: position 88,484,393 of record NC_000004.12, read on the forward strand.
TGAGGGCTGGCTTTCTTCGCAGAGAATTTTCTTCTGCCAGGCTCCTAGAGATACCACCAGTTTGGTAGTACTTTACATTTTTGGCTTGAAGCTTTTTAGAATTTGGTGGCAAAGTTGAAGGAGAGCTCTTTTGTAATTACAGATCCTATAGGGGATAATTTTTCCCCAACTCAGCACCATTTGAACTTGGAACAGTTTGCCTTGTGGTCCTGGGGTCAAGGTGGAGGTGGAGTGATTGATATGGCAGTGGAGGAAAGAGCTTATTCATTTCTAGTTCATCCTTACCTGATGGTTTAACCCTTTTCGGTCTCAGACTTGTGGGGATAACTTCTCCTATGGACTCCCTAATTTGAACAGTCTAGGCTTTGCCTCCTTTCCCCAAAGCCCCAACCATTGAAAATTGAAGTTTACATTCACCAGGTTGGGCAGATGCTCTCAAGGCAAATGCCACTTTCATTTAAGTTTTTGACCTGATTATTCCATATCTACCTAAAAAATCAGTAATGCCTTTAAACATGTTTGTTACAGCTTTTCCTGTATTTCTAGGTGTTTTCAGTGGATCAGGGTACCTAATATATCATACTGCTGAAGAAAAAAATCTGCCATACTATTGAAAAACAATGGCTATTTTCAACAATTTTTAAAGGTTTTTTTTTTTTACAAAAGGGAAAGGTTAATGAAAAATAATTTGTGTTTTGAAAAAATGAGAAATTTATTGAAGAGCTCTGGGAAGGTATATTCTAACAAGCTTTTGCCACTTACAAGGAGAATCACAAGAAATACTGAAGCAGCAACAAAAGAAATCTTCAGGGGATCCCGCTTTGTCCTTTGACCGTAATAGATAATATCAGAATATTTTATATTTGTCAGGCTCCCCACCTCAGCAGGAGGCCACCAGGAACCATGAAGATGAAGTACCCACTTTCTCTGTGACTCTGGAGATCTTAAGGCTAATAATGATAAATGTAAGGCCAAGATCATCAGATCCAGAGGGCCATAGTTACAGGGTGAAACAGTCTCACCAGACTTTGGGTGGTAGTACTGGGAGGCCTGGAATATTTGAGGCCTGGACGAGAGTCAATAAGAACATTCTAGACACATGGTTTCAGTGCATATAGCCAAGATGAGTTTTTAGAAGACCACCTGAGAGTAATTTATTTCAGGATAACGCCCATCCAAGTCAAATACTAACAGTCACTAATGTCTGAAGTGTCTAGTGTCATTATTATTCATTGTCTTCACGACATGCCAGGGTGTTCATGTGTCTGTCATAATAACCCTGATCATATCATATGGGATGGAGGGTTGGAAAATTTCCTCTCGGTAGGGGAATGTTCCACAAATGCCTCAGCAGAGTGAATGTCTATAAGTGGTATATTATTAAGTCCTAAAGACTAAGACATGAAGAACTGGACCCCAGAGTACTTTGGGATATTGCATTGTTTTTTTTTTTCTTCCTATTGAAAGTTCTTTAAAAATTTCCTATGAATTAAAAATAACTAGAGGTTTATCATTACATCATCAATCTCTACTCTTAAATCTTAGATATTCTTTATGTTCATGAAAATTTGGGGCTCTGGCAGTGGAGGAATTGGATAGAATTTTATTCTGGTCATTATAAGAGTGTTTCATTTATAATTTAATCTGATAATCTAATTAACAGCTATTAAGCAAAATTGTCTTTAAATATAAAACTTTTTCACAAGTCATATTTTATTTAAGGTAAACCAGGTGAAATGTCAACTACCTGAAAGTATTTTCCAAGTAGACGAACTCTTGCACCGTCTCAATTTTTTTGTAGAAGTATGCAGAAGGTACTTGTGGAAAATGACTGTGGTAGGTATAGCATGTTTAAAGGGGGAAATTGATAATCAGTGAGTTAATACAGGCATTTCTTGTCCTCTGCAAAATTGCACAATAGAAATAGCAGGACTTGTGGGAAACATTAAGACTCCTCAAAATCTATGCAATTTTGCAGTCAGAGTTCCAGCAGAAAAGTGATTGGCACCTTGGGAGATGACTATGGGAGTATGAAAAATGCACAAAAAGGAAAGGGTAGAAATCTGTCTATACTGTAATTAGAGAAGGACTAGTGGAGCTCTGATACCCTTAAAGTGGTCATAACAAGGCAGTGAGACTCATCAGGAGCCAAGAGCCAAGACCCTGTGGGTAGAGTGTCTTGGGTGTAAGCACTCCTTTTTTATTTTCTGAAAATACAGTTGAAGGGCTCCTGCTGCCAAGGTAGCAGTTGACCCGAAGTGTTTCTCCCTTTCTCTGAAGGTTATAATTCTCCTTCTAGCACATCAAGTCTTGCCCAGCAAAATTCATGTATGAGCTAACCAGCTACCCATGTTATATCATTCTCCGTTTATCAAATGCAACTGAGCTTATTCACATGGTAGAAACTCAGGTTTCAGCAGAACAGACTCTTTGGGAAAGCATCCAAAGTTTATAATTAATTGCTAAATTAAATGGGCACTAAACATTCTCTTTATATACCTTTCATTGATACATATAAAACACATTTTCTACTACTGGTACTATGGACCAGTAATTTGGATTGCTTTTGTTGGAAGTACTGAGACCTTAAACCATCAGGGATGTAAGGCTATGAGGTAAAGTGTAAGGTTTCTCTGTCCTTTAACTTATCAGAATTATTGTCATTTCCATTTTTAGGACGCTTCAGAAAATGTACAATGCTGCGTCATATTCAGTCACTTTCCATTTATCTTTAATAATCTGTCGAAAATTAAACTACTACATACAGACACACTTTTAAAAATAGAGGTATGTATGCCTATTTGTCTTCATTAGCATAAATCACATGCTAAGCGCCTTCTTAATCATGCAGTATTTTGGGGGTGATAAGAGAACCACCTACCAGTGAAACCAATGGTTGTGGCATTCAAGGAGCTTATACTCTAATGAAGACGGCAAGGCAGACTGTCATAATTTGAATCATCTTCACCTTAAGGCAAATTAGGGCCTTGGTAGCAAGGGATGGAGCTTGGACAACTGGCCTAGTTGTCGGGTTTTTACCTGAAGTTGGCAGTGGCAGCCTGTAGTCTTCTGAATAGTACTCAAAGAGGTATAACAAACTTGGGCTTGATTAGGTGTAACAGACTTGGGCTTGACTAGCACCTATGTAAGGAGGCACAATCTAATGAAAAGATACGGTAGCAGGAATAGAAGTGGCTGAGGATTCCTGAAATTAGGAGCCCAATAAATGGCTACTACTCTGTGATGGTGCCATAAAAGAGGTTTGTACAGATTCCTCCCTTTTCCATGTACGGTACTGTTACTAGCTGAGGTGGTTATGTTTGTAGATGTATCCAGCAAAGTGGATGGATATTTTACCAACCATTAACAAAATATTTTACCACCAAAGTAGTAAAATTGGGCAATTGAAAATTCCCAAGGAATTGTATCAGATAATCCCTGCCGCATTGCAATTTAATAATGATTAAATTTGTTAATATAGGTAAAGCATTTAAAACTGCCTCACACAAAGCACCCAAAGGGTTGGGTATTATTATCACTTTTACATATGCAGACATATGTTATATGTATGTATAATATTCAAATATATGTCCTTAAAGCAGATAGTTTCATATAATGCATTTACCATAATAAAAATGGGAAATTGATTTATGAGTTCTGAGTATGACTGTAATGAAATATTTAACAAAGGGAAATCAAAGATAAAAAGATAAAAGAACTTTGTTTTGCTTCAACTCTTATAACCTATTCTCTCCTGATTTTAAACAAGGTTCCAGAGATAATTTCGTAGAAGTAATATTTGACTACTCCTTTTTCTGCTAAAAGCATAGACTTTTTTTTTCTTTTTTTTTTTTTTTGAGAGAGAGTCTCCCTCTGTTGCCCAGACTGGAGTGCAGTGGCATGATCTTGGCTCACTGCAACCTCCACTTCCTGGGTTCAAGCGATTCTCCTGACTCAGCCTCCCGAGTAGCTGGGATTACAGGTGCCCGCCGCCACACCCAGCTAATTTTTGTATTTTTAGCAGAGACAGGGTTTCACCATGTTGGCCAGGCTGGTCTCAAACTCCTGACCTCAAGTGATCCGCCCGCCTCAGCCTCCCAAACTGCTGGGATTAACAGGCGTGAGCCACCGTGCCTGGCCCTGAACCATAGACTTTAATGACCTAAAATTGCCATTTGGTTTCAGAATGGACATTCTGTCTGTCTGTCTGTCTCTCCCACTCTCTCTCCCTGCTTGTCTCTCTTCAATTAACTTCTTAGGTAAATTCTCCCTTAAAATCTCTTGTCTTGGTTTTTTTTTTCCTGGAGTAGGCTCTTTGGTGACATCTCTCATAACCTGGATTTTTTTTCCTGCAGCCTGTTTGCTTTCTAAACATCTGAACTTCTCTTCGGAATGAGAGAGCATCATGTTGCAGTGCACTGTTTCAGTGGATACCAATACATCTCTTAGCCTGTTAATAAGTAGCTTTGGTATCTTAAGCATTAATAATTGTGTGTATAGGAGAAAGTGGTCCTTTAAAACCTGCAGTTGGTAACTTACTTGCTCATCCAGCTTGGCTCCACAAAGGCTTTGATTCTTCAGGTCCCTTGTTTCCTCTGCTCACTGAGACTAAATACTGATGTTATCATTTATCTTCAGTGGTGCATATAAGGTTCTTTTCATAAATGTGACCTGCACTTATAAGCAGAACCAGTTTATTCTGCTTTCCAAATTTTTACTTAGAGAGGGCCAATGGTAAAATGAAGTGTAATATTTCTGTTTCTGTTTTCCTAGAGTAAAAAACATAAAGCTTATCTTAGGTCGGCAGCAATTGAGGAAGAAAGAGAGTCTGAATTCGCTTTGAGGCCCACGTTTGATCTAACAGTCAGAAGGAATCACTTGATTGAGGATGTTTTGAATCAGCTAAGTCAATTTGAGAATGAAGACCTGAGGAAAGAGTTATGGGTAAGGTGTAATTCTCACTTAATGTTTTTGCTGCTGAGAAAAGAAAAACATAAAAGAATGTGGCAAAGGGTTTCATAGAGAGGAAGTTATCTTCCTTTGCCACAGAGGTTGTTTATTTTAGGGTTCCTCTGATTCCCTAGTTGCCTTTGAGTTTTGGGTGATAGCTGTGGGCACTCACTCAGTATGTTTGGGCTAAGGAGCAGCAGGCAAAGTGGTTGTTCTCCCCACACCCTGCTCAGGTAGATAGTTCAGTGTTGGCCCTAAGAGGTCCAGTCCCTTCTGAGGTCTGGCCTAGCCTGGCTAGCACCACCCTTGAAGGGTTTCAATGAGATGGTTAGCATAGAGGAGAATTAAGGGGTTGTTTTTGTTCTTATGCAATAACCTAAATTGGGACAGGCATGGTGACTCACACCTGTAATCCCGGCGCTTTGGGATGCTGAAGCAGGTGGATCACCTGAGGTCAGGAGTTCGAGACCAGCCTGGTCAACATGGTAAAACCCTGTCTCTACTAAAAATACAAAAATGAACCGTGTGTGGTGGTGGGTGCCTGTAATCCCAGCTACTCGGGAGGGTGAAACATGAGAATCACTTGAACCCAGGAAGCAGAGGTTGCAATGAGCCGAGATCATGCCACTGCATTCCGGCCTGGGTGACGGAGCGAGACTCTGTCTCAAAAAAAACAAAAATAATAACCTAAATTGCTTTGTAGAAAAGAGAATTTTCTCTTTAAATCCTACAGTTATTTTGGGGTATAATTGTAGATTTGACCATGTTCGGAAGATCTTTAACTGATTTTTTGTTTAATTACCATATAATTTGTCTTATTAGTAAATATTTGATACTGAATCATAATGACCAGTAGATCTTTTGAGTGCTGTCCTTGTGGCAAGAACTGTTTTAAGTGCCTTATACCTAATTTTTTAACCCTTTCAACAACATTATGTGGCAGATTCTGTTTTTCCCTCATTTTACAGATGGGGAAACTGAGGTACAGAACTATTAGGTAACTTATCCAAGAGTAACCCAACTGATAAGCATCAGAGGATTTGGGCCTGGCCATTAAGCACTAGACTTTCTGCTTAATGAAGACGGATAAAGATTGGCCTGATAATATTTAGTAAATGGAGTATTTTTTATTGGGGACCTTAGTTTATCACTTCTCCTACTCAGATTAAAGAAAGATTGACTTTACCAAGTCTCAAGATACCAATTTAAAAGCATATTGCCCCAGACACAGTGGCTCATGCCTGTAATCCTAGCACTTTAGGAGACTGAGGTGGGCAGATCACCTGAGGTCAGGAGTTCGAAACCAACCTGACCAGCATGGTGAAACCCCATCTCTACTAAAAATACAAAAATTAGTTGGGTGTGGTGGCGGGCGCCTGTAATCCCAGCTGCTTGGGAGGCTGAGGCAGTGAGAATCTCTTGAACCCAGGAGGTGGAGGTTGCAGTGAGCCAAGATTACCCCACTGCACTCTAGCCTGGGCGACAGAGCAAGATTCTGTCTCAAGGAAAAAAATATATATATTGCAGTTAGAGTTGGTATTTCCATGTATTTTTGCACACAGATAATTGTATAACTCTAATGGACTCGTTATGTGATTCTATGCTTTGCCAGTCAGTCTACTCGATTATTTGAGTTCCACTTTTATATATTGTTCATTCAGTTTTTAAATTCAGGTAACACTCAGCATTTACCATTTGCAGGCTCTGTGTGAGGCATTTTACATGTATGACCCCTGTAATCTTTCTGATAATCTTGTGGGAAAACTGAGGTTTTATGAGGTTGGGCAGCTTGTCCTTAGTAAGAAGAGGGGGAAGGGTTTGACACCTGGTCTTGCTACAAAGATTTTTAGTATTTCACTATTTCACCAAGAGGAATGGAAGAGGCAGCATCTAAATAAATAAACTGGTAAGAGGAGATTTCTGGGGATGCTAGTATAACATCTGGGTAGAAATGTTGAACAGGCCGTTGGAAGTGACTGTCAATCAGGAGAGAAAATGCACTGAATCTGAAGGTTAAATACGTATGGGTGGTAAACAAAGTTTAAGGAGAAAATGAGCATCCAGGGAAAGAACAGAGAGAAAGGACAGAAGTGTTAGGATAGAACTGTCTGCAATTCTGTTTCTAGAAATTAAGCCAGCAGGAAAAAGAAGAGATAAATAAAACCGTGAAGAGTGCTTCATAGGAGAAAGCAAGGGAGAAGATTGTGTCAAGGAAAAGGACATGATCAGAAGTGGAAAATGAGTTAACGAAATCAAGGAGATGAGATATGAGAAAAAGTCCTTGGAGCTTGGGGATTTACAGTTCTTGTTCTTCTTGGAGAGACCCATTTAAGTGGAGAAGTGGGTTTGGAAGTTGGCGTATATCTCTGAAGTTTGGCAAGAGTGGAAGGAGCCCGTGTTTGTATTGGAGACAATGTGTTGGGATTTTTTTTTTCCTTTTAAGGTTAAGGGGGACCTTAACATGTTTGTGAATGGAAGTGAAGGATTCCAGGAAAAGGCAGGAATGGAGGGGTGACTGAAGGAGCAAAGATGGGTTATGATAGCATCCTCTTGGGAGGGATTGGTGTCAGCAGTAGGGGTGCAGCCTCCTCGGGGAGCAAACAGCCACTTCAGCAAACACCTTATGTGTGCTCTGGTTTTTTGAATATCCTGATTTTTATTATTTATTTATTTATTTTTGAGACAGAGTCTCACTCTGTTGCCCAGGCTGGAGAGCAGTGGTGCGACCTTGGCTCATGGCAACCTTCATCTCCCGGGTTCAAGTGAGTCTCCTGCCTCAGCCTCCTGAGTAGCTGGGATTACAGGTATGCATCACCACACCCAGCTAATTTTTGTATTTTTAGTAGAGACGGGGTTTCACCATGTTGGCCAGACTGGTCACGAACTCCTGACCTCACATGATCCGCCCACCTCGGCCTCCCAAAGTGCTGGCATTACAGGTGTGAGCCACCACGCCCGGCCAATTTTTATGATTTCTTTCTGTTTATTTTTATTATACTTGGATCTGGTGACTATAATAGTGATGCCAGTTGAGGTCAATTTAGGTAAAACTTTTACCTAAAGTGGTAAAAACTTTAGGCTCTGGGGTTTGACTGATAAAGGATTAAATTTAGGCTGTAGGCCGGGTGTGGTGGCTCATGGCTGTAATCTCAGCGCTTTGGGAGGCTGAGGTGGGTGGATCACTTGAGGTCAGGAGTTCAAGAGCAGCCTGGCCAACACAGTGAAACCCCGTCTCTACTTAAAATACAAAAAAATTAGCCAGGCGTGGTGGTGCATATCTGTAATCCCAGCTACTCTGGGGGCTGAGGCAGGAGAATCGCTTAAACCCAGGAGGCGGAGGTTGCAGTGAGCCGAGATCAGACCACTGCACTCCAGCCTAGACAACAGAGTGAGACTCCATCTCAAAAAACAAAACAAAACAAAAAAACTAGGCTGCACCACCTGACTATTGTATAAACTTGGAAAAGTTATTTAAATTCTCAAGGCCTCGTTATCTCATAGAATTAATGTAGAGATTAAATATGATAATATAAGTAGGATACTTACCTCAGTGCCTTCCAAATACTTGGGTCCACAATTAATGTTAGCTATTTACTATTATTAAATGAGACTTCATATATAGCAATATAGAGCCCTGGAAGTGATGTATTATTTGCTCTGTTTCCTCAGGTTTCATTTAGTGGAGAAATTGGGTATGACCTCGGAGGAGTCAAGAAAGAGTTCTTCTACTGTCTGTTTGCAGAGATGATCCAGCCGGAATATGGGATGTTCATGTATCCTGAAGGGGCTTCCTGCATGTGGTTTCCTGTCAAGGTAAGTTCCCTCTTCTTTGCTTAAGGTATTTTGCGACAGAAAAAGTACACCATATACCATAGAAAATTAGTTTGTCTAGACTATTTCATGTTAGAAGAGGAGTATTGATATAATTATGGAGATAATGTATAATTCTAATAAGGTGATTATTTTCTTTAAAATGGAGTTTCCTTTTCCTGGGTTCCCATGTCTGTTCACATCGAACTCAAGCAATATATTTTTTGATCATTTATATAATGCATGGATTAAAAAGGAACCCTCTCTTTTTTAGGTACTCATTCTTTGTGTCAGTTCTGTTTTCCTAATGAATTTGAAGACAAAGGCTGTGGAAAGAAATTGTGAAAACTAGTTTATAAGGATTACTGAACCTAATGTATTTTTATTGCTGGTATGCTTTTAGGAACCAAAACTGTGGCAGGGATTTATTTGGTTTTTTATTTGTTTGTTTGTTTTGTTTTGCTTTATTTTTGAGACAGAATCTCACTCTGTCACCCAGGCTGGAGTACAGTGCCATGATCTTAACTCACTGCAACCTCCGCCTCCCAAGCTCAAGCCATTCTCTTGCCTCAGCCTGGCGGGATTACAATAACTGGGATTACAGGCTCCTGCCAACACACCTGGGTAGTTTTTGTATTTTTTGTAGAGATGGGGTTTCACCAGTTTGGCCAGGCTGGTCTCAAACTCCTGACCTCAGGTTATCTGTCCACCTTGACCTCCCAAAGTTCTGGGATTACAAGCGTGAGAGTGGCAGGGATTTAAATTGACTTAATGACCAAATATTAGGTTGGTGCAAAAGTAATTGCAGGTTTTGCCTTTACTTTTAATGGCAAAACCTGCAATTACTTTTGCACCAACCTAATATAAACCCTAAACATTCTTATCTCAGGCTTTAAATTTTTCAATTTGAGATTTGATTTTATGAAAGAGAAACAAAGATTTATTTAATATAAATATTTCATTGTACTGGTAAAAACTCATAATACTTTAAGATTTTTTTTTCGCTTTTCAGCCTAAATTTGAGAAGAAAAGATACTTCTTTTTTGGGGTTCTATGTGGACTTTCCCTGTTCAATTGCAATGTTGCCAACCTTCCTTTCCCACTGGCACTGTTTAAGAAACTTTTGGACCAAATGCCATCATTGGAAGACTTGAAAGAACTCAGTCCTGATTTGGGAAAGTAAGTAAACAGAGTTCCTGAGAAAGGACCCTTTCTAACATATATTTAGGCAAATATTTAAGTACACACGCTTCATAATATTTCCATGTTCAACAGCAGCATTTTAGGTACTTTAGACCAGTTTTAACTTTGACAAGAATTGTTGGATGATAATTTCGTTTTCTAAAATTAGGAAGTGTTGATTATTCCCATAACTAGACTTCAATGTTTGCATTAATCTTTCAACTTTTTCTGTGTAGGAACAGTCATGCACAGAGCACAGGTTACACCTTGGTGCAAAATCTGCTAGTGATATTTATGTTAAATGTTGTTTCATGTCATCACCTTTAAAATGGAAACTTATTTCTAAGTTAAAAGACAAGCCACCACCTCACCAAAAAATGGCAACAGTAAAAGGGTTTTCATATCCCTGCTGTGTAAAGCATTCCTACACATCCGTAAGAAATATTCACAAAGTATCCAAGAAGGCAACCTGGCAAAGAAGCAATAGAAATGCTTCCTAAATAAAAATGTCTTCAATCTCACCAGTGCTCATAGAATGCATATTAACGTGAGAGGCTAATTTATACTTCAAGTTGACAGTGGTTTGAAGTGTTGATGCTATATAGTATTAGCAAGGGCTTGAAAACTTTCATTTTAATTTCAGGTATTATTCGTGGAAATATAAATTGGTACTCCTTTTCAGAGAACAGTGTGGCAGGACTTAGCAAAATCAAAACATATTTGCCTTTTCAACTCAACAATTCTACTTCTAGACATTTAACTTTCAGAAATACACAACCATGCAAGGATCAGTGTATAGTAATATATACTGTATTTATAGTTTATAATATAAAGACTCCCTAAATGTCCTTCACTAAGGGAATGATATATTTTTGGTATACTTATGCAAATGGAATACTACAGAGATTTTTATTTTTAAAGAGTAAGAACAGGCCAGGCATGATGGCTTATCCCTGTAATCCCAGCACTGCGGGGAGGCTGAGGCAAGTGGCTTGCTTGAGCCCAGGAGTTTGAGACCTGCCTGACCAACACGGCGAGACCTCATCTCTACAAAAACAAACAAACAAAAACAACAAAAATTAGCTGGGCATGGTGGCACATGCCAGGAGGCACACCTCAGAAGGCTGAGGCAGGTGGATAGATTGAGCTCAGGAGGTCGAAGCTGCAGTGAGCCGTGATCATACCACTGCACTCCAGCCTGGGCGACAGTAGAAGACCCTGTCTCAATTAAAAAAAAAGAATAAGAACAGTAATATGATTCTAGTATTATTATCATCCCTCTTTTACAGATTCAGAAACTAAAACACAGAAAGATTAGGTAACTTGCTCAAGGCCCCATAATGGCAGAACGATGATCTGAACACAGTCTGGCTCCAGAGTCTATTAATCGTTTATACTAACTGTACTAATAAGACAAGGAAAAAAAAATCAAAAGCACAAGATTTAGAAAGAAGGAGATAAATTTGTCATTATTATTTTACTGGAAACATCGAAGATAACCTAAATAATAATTATGCCTCAAAAGACTGATAATTAACAATGTACATGAACTAAAAGATCTTTAAATTTGTATCATTGTTTCTCAAACTTTTAGGTCTTAAGATTCTCTTAAAAATATTGAGGACTCCAAAGCGCTTTTAGTTAGGTTGGTTACATCTGTCAATATTTACGGGATTAGAAATTAAATATTTTAAACACAGGAATACACAAATATCTGTTAGCAGAGCATTCCACAATATCATATAGCCTCATGAAAACTCTTCTGTTTACTCACAGCAGAATGTGAAAATAGGCAAATAACATCTTAATAATGTTATGAAAATAGTTTTGACCTCATGAACTCTGTAAAGGCCCAAGGATTCCCAAGAATTGCTGGTCTGGCTCACATTTTGAGAACCAGTGATCTCTGTGTTCAGTAAAACTCAATTTTAATCCCAGGAGGCTTTTTATTAAACTTCACAACCTGGTTCTAAAATTTATATGGATGAACAAAGGGTCAAGAATAGCCAGAAATAATTCTTAAGGCAAATAAGGATGGAGAACTTGGTCTGTCAGCTATCAAGAATTATTAGAAAGCTGTATTAGTCAGGACAGTATGATGTATGATATTGGTGCAGGTTTTCCGATAGAACAGACGATAGAGCTCAGAAATGGACCCATGCCTATGTGGAACTTTATTAGAGGTGACATATTTGATCAAGGGGAATAGCAGTACTACTCAATAAATGGAACTGGAAAAAAATGATATCTATCTGGGGAAAAAAATGAAAGTAGATCTTTGTCTTATGCCATACATGATAATCACCTCCATGTGGATGAAGGATTTAGATATTAAATGCAAAAATCATGAAAATACAGGAGAATGATCTTTCTCACCTTTGAGATTTCTTAAACAAGACATGCAGTGTACCAACAGTAAAGAAAAGATTTAATACATTTAATTGCAATAAGATTAAAGAACTTCTTTCTTCATCAAGAGGGTGTTAGAAAAATGCAAAAGGGAAGGTGTTGTCAGGGTCTGAATGTGTCCCCCACAAAATTCATATTTTGAAGCCTCATCCCCAGTGTGGAGCCCTCATGAGTAGAATTCATTCCCCTATGAAAGAGGCCCAAGGGAGCCTGTTCGCCCCTTCCACCATGAGAGGACACAGAGGACACCATTGAAAAGGAATGGGTCGTCACCTATTCCCTTTAGATTCAGACACCGAATCTGCTGGCACTTTGATCTTGTACTTCCAAGCCTCCAGAACCGTGAGCAATAAATTTCTATTTATAGATTACCCAGTCTAAGGTATTTTGTTATGGCAGCGTAAATGGACTAAGGGAAATTGCTACCAAGAAGTGTGGTGTTGGAAGCAACTTTGGAACTAGGTAATTAGTAAGTAGTGGAAGAGTTTTGAGGCACATGCTAGAAAAATCATGTATTGCCCTATAGAGCAGTTCTGGCAAGGGCTCAGAAGAAGAGGAGACCTCTAGAGAAAGCCTTGGTCTTCTTAGAGATTACCTAAGTGGTCATGATCAGAATGTTAGTAGAAACGTAGACAATAAAGGCAATTCTGATGAGGTCTCAGATGGAAGTGAGGAACACATTGGAAATTGGAGGAGAGGTGCTCCTTGTTACTATATAAAGTGGCAGAGAATGTGGCTGAATTCTGTTGTATCCTAGTGTTTTGTGGAAAGTCAGATTCTTAACAATGAAATAGGATATTTGGCAGAAGCAATCTCTAAGCAAAGTGGTAAAGGAACAATATGGCTTTTCTTGACTGCTTATACCAAAATGCAAGCAGGGAGAATTATTTAAAGTGGAATTTATCATTAGAAAAAAAGCCAAACTTAAAGATTTGGAAATTCTCAGGCTGGCCATGTTGTAAAGAATGCAAACGTGTTTGGAAGAGAGCACCAAGGGTATGGCCAGGTGACTCTTTTTATTAATAAAGAGGTTAGTGTGGATGGGTGGAAGCCTGGTGCTATTCATCACGACAATGGAAGAATGATCCCAAAGGCATTTCAGAGATCACTGGGGGCTGTCACTCCCATCATAGGCCCTGAGTGCCAAGGCCTGGAGGACAGAACTATGTCAAGAGTGGCTTTGTGTGCCCACAGGACCTGGACATTTGATGTCCAGCGCTGCCTCAAGTCCCTACTCATTGCATTCTGGCACAGTGCTCCTCAGCTGACCCAGGTGTGACTCCAGTGGCCCCAGGTGTGGTGTGGTCACAGTGGCTGTGCCATCTCTGCTGGCACAGAGTGCACAAGCTGTGGGGCCTTGGCTTCTCCCACCTAGATATCAAAGGATACTCCACAGAGCCATGGGGTCCAGGCAGAGAACTGGCACAGGGTTGAGGCAACTGCAGAGAGCCCCCACTAAGGCAATGCCTAGTGGAGTCATGGGAGTGAGGCTGCTCTAGAGACCCGAGAAGAGCCACCAGTGTGCAGTTCCAGCCTGAGGGAGAATCAAAAGCACCCAACACTAATGTGTGAGAGCCTCTAGGGGTGGGCTTTGCCCAGCAAAGTCATGGGTGTAGGGCTGCCTGGAAACTTAGGAGCCCAACCCCAAACCCAGTGTGTCCTGAAAGTGGGACATTGAGTCAAAGATTATTCTCAAGCCTTAAGATTTAATGTTGCATGCCATTTTGAGTTTTGGACTTAGTTGGGACCTATTACCCCTTTCTTATTTCTGTTATTCCCTTTTGAAATGGGAATGTCTATCCTATGCCTGTTCCACTGTTGTATTTTATTTAATTTATTTATTTTGAGACAGAGTCTCACTCTGTGGCCCAGGCTGGAGTGCAGTGGTGCAATCTGGGCTCACTGCAACCTCCACCTCCCAGGTTCAAGCGATTCTCGTCCCTCAGCCTCCTGAGTAACTGGAATTACTGGCACATGCCACCATGCCTGGCTAATTTTTGTATTTTTAGTAAAGATGAGGTTTTGTCATGTTGGCCAGGCTGGTCTCAAACTCTTGACCTCAAGTGATCCACCCGCCTCGGCCTCCCAAATTGCTGGGATTACAGGCGTGAGCCACTGTACCTGGCCTACCATTGTATTTTAGAAGCAGGTAACTTGTTCGATTTCACAGGATCACAGCTGGAGAACAGTTCACCGCCTTCCCCACAAAAACAAAAACAACCCACAATGAATAAAACATGGTCTGTTACTTCACAATACAGTAATTTAAAAACCCAGTGGGGAAAAAAAATCAGTTCAGATTCCACCTTATCCCAGAGGCCTTTCCCAATGTCATGTATCCCTTCAGAAAAATTTAACTGTGCTCTTTTAAGCCTATACCTGTGTGATTTCCATAGTTCTCTGGCTGCACATACCTCACTGTATTGTAGGTGAGACTCCCATCAGCATACCTCACCTTCAAGTCCCAGAGTATTGGCAGTGATATCTTAGTCTCAACTTTACATCCCCTATGCCTGCTATAGTAGGGGCTACTTAAATGTTTGTTAAATAAATATTTGAGTGAATGAGCAAATACAATGAGATGTGTTATTTCAAAAGCATGTATAAAGCATCATAGGATGATAGGATGGAAATAATTTAAAAATTGGTTACTGTCCATTTTGATGTGACCTCTATTCTCACAAATGCCCTGAAATTATTAAGGTAGTCTAATTTCAGGTGTTTCTTAAGCTTGATGATATTGGGACAAGAGGTGCAGAGAAGGTCCTTTGACCCACCTCAGAGTTACTGATACCTGAAATTTAATATGAGACCTATTCTGTAAGTAAAGTTCAAAAGCTTCAATAAAGGTAACACCAGTTTGAATGAATTCACTATCAGTGAACGTTAGAATCCTTTTCTAAATAGAAACCTACAATCATTAGGTAGGGAATTTAAGGTAAAGGAACAAGAGCTGTGAAGCAGGCAGGCAGCCTGCAGAAATGCAGACAAGCTTCTTAAATTTGACATGTTTAGTTGAGGTCTGGCCCTGTTTAGACTATCAGTACGCAGAGAAAGAGGTGCTGTGAACTATACCTGACCTCATACCTTCAGAATAGCTATACACTTGACATTTATTTTAGATGCTGTGTCTAGTGATCATGGTTATTACCTTTTTAAAAGCAAGATTATTTTTTCCTTAGGAATTTGCAAACACTTCTGGATGATGAAGGTGATAACTTTGAGGAAGTATTTTACATCCATTTTAATGTGAGTAACAATAAAAGCAGATAACAGATTAGTTTTAATCTGATTAACCCTTTACATATTTAACTAAACATGTCAACTTTTACTTAAAAAAAAAACCTGAATAAATTAGTGAAAAAGGTATTGTTCTTCATCATGATCTAGGTGCATCAGTTAGATTTTACTATGTAACAGCCAACCCTAAAACCTAGTGCCCTAAAAGAACAAATACAATTTTGTGGGTTTCTGAACTGGGCCGACTTGGCCAGGCTGGATGGTCTACAGTGGTATCACTCACATGCCCAGTCACTGGCAGGCTGGTTGGGTTATAGGGTATCAGCTGGAACAGCTTGTCTCTGTTCCCTGTGGTCTTTCATTCTCCAATAGGCTAGCTGAGGCTTTTGAAGCAAGACTGCAGTCTTTATTCTTCACATGGTGGCCTTAGGGTTACAGAGAGGAAGCGATAGCAAGCCCCACCACACATGCTTCTGCTTCTGTCAGATCCCATTGGCTAAATAAAGTACCTCACATGGCCATGCCGAGATTCAGTGGCTGAAGAGATAGCCTCTCCCCTTGATTGCAAGTGTTGCAAAGCCACTAGGCAAAGGGGCAGGAGAACTAGGATGGGAAGAATTCATGGCCATTTTTGTAAATCTACCATACTGGGTCTATGCTGTATGAAGTGAATACTGAGATGTAGCAATTTTCCAATTAATTTGTTTAATTTGATCAGTTAAAATAAGAGAATTCAAGCTTTGAAAAAATTTATTTTTATTCAGTATGATAGGGTGTAATTTTTTGTTTGTACATTCCTTGCTAGCTTTTATGACAAAAATGTACATTTTAACACATTCTTTTTAGAAAGTATGCTCCAAAGTGTTTTTATTGATGATAGATTGTTCAGAATTATGTTGGAGATATTATCTGAGTTCATTTGCGGTTACAGGTGCACTGGGACAGAAACGACACAAACTTAATTCCTAATGGAAGTAGCATAACTGTCAACCAGACTAACAAGTAGGTACAAAAAATGAAATAGTTGGTTTGTATATGTACTATTTTTATTTTACTGAGCTCTAAAAATTCCTTTTAGCTCTTTAATTTTTCATTCTCATTAATCATTTTTCACTAAGGCAGAGAAGTTGGTGTGTGTTGTATGTGTTTTGACATATATATCATGGAGTTTATATTGTGGTAAGGAATGGAAATGGCTTTCTCAGAGAGACCTTTCTATTTCCTCCTGTCCAAAATTACAACACCAACATCTGTCCCTCTTTATCCACTCGTTCTGCTTTTTCTTTTCATATCACACATTACCTACCTTTAGGGTTTATTTGCTTATTTATTTCTCATTGTTTCTCCAATGATAGTGAATGCGGCAGGGACTTGGTATGTATTCTTCACCGCTGTATATTCAGTACCTAGAGTAGTCTACAGTGGTGCCTGATACATTGCAGGCACATAGTAAGTATTTGTTGAAAAGGTTACTATGATATTTTGACTTCCCAACATCTAATGGAATGCCATTTAAAGCCATGGAGTTTGGAATTATAGAACCTTCCCTTGATAGTTGGTCAGAGTGGCAAAGAGATCTCTAGGAAGCGTGCTGGCCTACATCACATCTTTTTCCACGATTTCTTAATCTTTTTTTTTAAACTTTGTATTGAAGTATAACCTATATAACAGAATTTTGCACAAGTCATAAATGTACAGTTTAGTGAATTTCACAAAGCAAACATGCCTATGTAATTACTGCCAGATCAAGAAATATAACATTTCCAGCTATATAGTTGTGTATTGTATGAATATATCACAGTTTATTTATCTGTAGAATTTTTTTTTTCTTTTGAGATGGCACCTCGCTCTGTCACCCAGGCTGGAGTGCAGTGGCGCAATCTTGGCTCACTGCAACCTCCGCCTCCCGGGTTCAAGCGATTCTCCTGCCTCAGCCTCCTGAGTAGCTGGGACTACAGGCGCCCGCCACCACGCCCAACTAATTTTTTGTATTTTTAGTAGAGACAGGGTTTCACCGTGTTAGCCAGGATGGTCTCCATCTCCTGACCTCATGATCCACCCACCTTGGCCTCCCAAAGTGCTGGGATTACAGGCGTGAGCCACTGCGCCCGGCCTATCTGTAGTATTTTTGACCGACATAGTGTATTTCAAGTTTTGGACTATTATGAATAATGCTCTTGTGAACATTCTTGTACATGTGTTTTGTTTATGTGCAGGCATTTCTGTTGGTATGTAACTGGGAGAAGTGCTTGGTGCCTTGTGGTTGCCCCTTGCTCCATGCAGGCAGAATCAATGCTCCTACCTGAAATTCATTTGGATATTGATATGGATGATGCCATATGTAAGCCAGAGAGTATGAAAATGTTTAGTACATAATGGGGCTTTTTGGGGAGAGCTGCACAGGCATCCAAGCTGATCTGTTTGGCTTAAGTGAAGAGAGAGGCAGGTGGCTTTAGTTTTTATGGTGGTTCCGTGGGGCCAGGGTCAGGGTTCTCATGCAACCCAGAGCATGCGTGGGGAAATTTAAGCCACGCAGCCATCAGTGGGTGCCCAGGGAGTGAGCCTGTGTTGTGCAGATTTGGAGGCGAAAGGGGAAAAAGGAGGAGTGGGACTTGAAAGCTGTTAGTAAGCAAACATAAAAAATGGAGGCACACTTTCATCAGTAGGGTACGACAGTTCTAATTGCTCTATATCCACTCTAATAGTATTACTAGTCTTTTTTAAATTAGCCATTCTGGTGGGTATATAGTAGTATTCCATTGTGGTTTTAATTTGCATTTCTCTGATTACTAATGTTAAGCACTTTATATGCTTATTGGCTGTTTGGATATCCTCTTTTCAGAAATAATTATTCCTCATCTTTAGTCTATTTTTCTGTTGCTTTTTTTTTTCTTGTCAGTTTATGAGAGTTCTAGATGCAAGTCTTTTGTTGGTTATATGTACTGCAGATATCTTCTTACATACTGTGGCTTGTCTTTTCACTTTTTAAATGTGTCTTTTGATTAACCAAAATTTGTAATTGTAATGTAGTCTACTTTATCAATATTTTCCTTAATGCATAGTGTTTTTCTGTTTTCTATTTTATGAATACTTCCCTATCCTAGGGCTATGAATATATTCCCCTGTATTTTCTTCTAGAAGCTTATCATTTTATTTCTCACATTTAGATCTATGATCCACTTTAATTGATTTTTTAGTAAGATGCAAGGTATGGATCAGGTTTTATTTTTTCAATTTTTGAAACTGATTATACTGAACCTATAGATCAATTTTTTGAAAAAATTGACATCTTAAAATAATGAGGCTTTAATCCATGAATACAGAATCTCCATTTGTTTAAATCGTCTTTTGTCATTCTTGAAAAAATGTTAGGTAGTTTTCTATGTAGAGATCTTGTTGCAATATTCTAAATAGGTTTCTTGGATCATTTATTGTATTTGAATCTTCTCTGTCCTTAAAAATTTTTTTGTCTGCTTTTCTGTTAGTTACTAGGAGAGGTATATTAGCATCTATACTATACATGTGGATATGAGTGTTTCTTTAAGTTTCGTTATTACTAAGCACATAACAGATTTTTGAATTGTTTTACCTTCCTGGTATATGACTCGGTTGTCATTAGTAAATGTACTTTTCTATCCTTGTCTTGTTTGTCTGATTTTAGTATAGTTACACCACATTCATTTTGGTTGATGTTTGCATAGTGTATCTTTTTCCCTTCTTTGACTTTAATCTGTGTTTTCACATTTAAGTTATATATGTTATAAGCAGCATATGATGGAGTTGTTATAAAAATTACATTAGGGCCAGGTGCGGTGGCTAACGTCTGTAATCCCAGCACTTTGGGAGGCCGAGGCAGGCAAATCACAAGGTCAGGAGTTTGAGAGCAGCCTGGCCAACATGGTAAAACCCCATCTCTACTAAAAATACAAAAAAATTAGCTGGGCATGGTGGCAGGCACGTGTAATCCCAGCTACTTGGGAGGCTAAGGCAGGAGAATCTCTTGAACCCAGGAGGTGGAGGTTGCAATAAGCTAAGATCGCACCACTGCATTCCAGCCCAGGTGACAGTGCGAGACTCCGTCTCAAAAAAAAAAAAAAATTACATTAGATAATCTCTAGTAACTATGACAGTCCATGGCACATGGTAGGTACTCAATAACTGTTAGGTATTCTAGCTTTTATTTTTAGCCCCTCACCATTTTGTTCAGGATATTGCAGTAAGTGGAAATAACATTTTGTTTTATTAAAGGAGAGACTATGTTTCTAAGTATATCAATTACATTTTCAACGACTCTGTAAAGGCGGTTTATGAAGAATTTCGGAGAGGATTTTATAAAATGTGCGACGAAGACATTATCAAATTATTCCACCCCGAAGAACTGAAGGATGTGATTGTTGGAAATACAGATTATGATTGGAAAACATTTGAAAAGGTACATCATCAAGTCTAAGTTGATTAAATTCAGTTTTCCTTCCTATTTCCTCAATAACTTTTTTTTGTATTTTCTCTAGAATGCACGTTATGAACCAGGATATAACAGTTCACATCCCACCATAGTGATGTTTTGGAAGGCTTTCCACAAATTGACTCTGGAAGAAAAGAAAAAATTCCTTGGTAAGTATTATATCAAGGAATAGATCTGTAATCGTATGTCTTTTTAATGGGATAAAAATTTCCTTTATGATAAGTACCATTTGCAACAGATCATAGTGTCAGAGCTACGCCTAGTCCAACTGAACATCCTCTGTGTCCCAACATCAAAAAACAAATGTTAATATCTATAAGCAATCTTTTCCCCTGTGATTTCATCCCTTCTTATTGCTTTTAAAGTTTTCGTTTCTTCATCCAAGCTAAATATCAAGCCTTCTTTCTGTAGCCCTGTCATCATTCACTTATTCAGCCTTTTTGGGATTAACTAAAATATTTTATTTGGCTAATTTTTACTGTTCCTATATTATTAATACTATATTTGCTATTACTGTACACAGCTATTTTATTTGTATCTTTAGGCTTAATGACTTTCTCATTTTCTATTTCCTTACTTTTGAGAAATATTTATCTTCTATTTTTATTTTTGTGGATAACATGTATGTTAGAAGATATTCAGACTTAATAGAAGCCCAACCTACCTTTCCAGTCTTAACTCCTAGAGGAAATTTTTGTCCCAACCAAATAATCCCATTGTCTGAACACTCCTGAGCTCACCTTGCACCTTCCCACCTCCAGGCCTTTCTGTGAAGTTCCTTCTCCTGCCTTGAACCTCACCTACCTCCTTGTTGCCTTTCTAAACCTTTCCATCCTTAAAGGTCCGGCATAATTCTGAACTCTTGGAAATCCCCTCAGTCATCCCAGCCTGGCTCTCTCTCCTTATTCTCAAGCATAGCATTGACTCAGGAGGCACTTAACTCCATGACACCTCTTCGGGCTGTCTTATACCTTACAGCTTTTCTCTTGCTATTATGTGTCTTTTTCTTCACAAGAATCTAATATTCCCAGTCAGACTTTAAGCTGCTTGAGGACAGTGACTATGTGTCAGACATTGTTCGAATACAATCCCCAATGCACTGTCAAATGTAGGACACTGCACATGGGCTCCAGTGAAGTTTTGTGAATAAATAGATTTTTTTCTCTGTAAAGAGATTTTGGTCTCCATGTAAAACAGATTGCCTAATTTTATTCTTCTTTTTAGTATTTCTTACAGGAACTGACAGACTACAAATGAAAGATTTAAATAATATGAAAATAACATTTTGCTGTCCTGAAAGTTGGAATGAAAGAGACCCTATAAGAGCACTGACATGTTTCAGTGTCCTCTTCCTCCCTAAATATTCTACAATGGAAACAGTTGAAGAAGCGCTTCAAGAAGCCATCAACAACAACAGAGGATTTGGCTGACCAGCTTGCTTGTCCAACAGCCTTATTTTGTTGTTGTTATCGTTGTTGTTGTTGTTGTTGTTGTTGTTTCTCTACTTTGTTTTGTTTTAGGCTTTTAGCAGCCTGAAGCCATGGTTTTTCATTTCTGTCTCTAGTGATAAGCAGGAAAGAGGGATGAAGAAGAGGGTTTACTGGCCGGTTAGAACCCGTGACTGTATTCTCTCCCTTGGATACCCCTATGCCTACATCATATTCCTTACCTCTTTTGGGAAATATTTTTCAAAAATAAAATAACCGAAAAATTAACATAAAAGTCTTATTCACTATTCAATGTGTTTACCAGCTCTTTTGGAATTGCTATCATTGCATGTAAGATATATCAATTATAATATAGATTAAGCTGTGTCTCTCACACAATGTTTGCATGACTTGGCCTGAAGGGATACTCTTTACCTTAGAAGTTTTTTTAAAAAACTTGTAATTATCTACCCAATATCTGTTCTCCCCTTCTTTCAGTACAGATTCCCTATATGGTAGGAGTGGCATTGTTCTCAGTCTTAAAATCATACATTTCCCAGCCTCTCTTCAAGGTAGGGACAGGTGGCAGTGGTGACAGTTATTGGGAGAAGCTTCTGAGGAAGCTTTTTTATTTAAATGCTGTTATGCTTTTAATGGAGTTAGGTACAAAATGCATCCAAGCAAAAGAATGTTGTACATACTCATTAACATAGTGATAAATGTAAATTACACTTTGATAATGTAAAATACAGTGTGTTAGGCCCCAAAAAGAAACTACAAAGTTAGCTGCAACTGAAGATACTGGAAAGACTCCGTAGGTTTTTTTTTTTCTTTTTTCTTTTTTTTGAGACAGTTTCACTCTTGTTGCCCAGGCTGGAGTGCAATGGCGCTGTCTCGGCTCATCGCAACCTCCACCTCCTGGGTTCAAGTGACTCTCCTACCTCAGCCTCCCAAGTAGCTGGGATTACAGGCATGCACCCCCACGCCCAGCTAATTTTGTATTTTTAGTAGAGACAGAGTTTCTCCATGTTGGTCAGGCTGGTCTCAAACTTCCCACCTCAGGTCATGCGCCGGCCTTAGCCTCCCAAAGTGCTGGGCTTACAGGCGTGAGCCACTGTGTCCAGCCGTCCTTAAGTTTTTTTTACCCGTCATCTTTATTATTATAATAGTTCTAAATGATAATCTGGGTGGGGCTTAAGGAATAATACAAAGCTCTTTTCAGCTGTGGTTCAAAGAACTTTAGTAAAGCTGTATGACAATGACATTGTGGGACCATGACATTTTCCCAAAAGTATTTCCAATAACATAGGCATTTGAGAAACTTCATAGTTTCAAAGTCTGGAAAGCGGTGAAGATATCTTAGAGAATTTTAAAACATTATAAACCCCATTTCTCTCCTGGAGACTTTTTAAAGCATGGACATGAGTTTAAAGATACTGAGAAAACATCGGTTTTCATAAAGCTTCAATGAACACCCCAAGGTACAAGTGTTGTAAGCAGCCTGTTTACTAAAATGTTGCTGCATTGTACTTTTGGAGGTACAGAAATGCTGTGCCTACAGTGAGAGCACAACTTTATCCCTAGTTAAAAGCACCAGGGGTCAAGTTCAGCTTCCATTTACAGAGGATACACCAGTAATCCCTAGGATAGTGAGTGGTTCAAGTACTACACTACATTTCTAACGTGTCTTACCTATTTGCTCTTAGTCAGCACTGGGGCTCTTTTAAACCCTATGTAGATCTATAGAATATTTTGAAAAGAGTCTAAAACTACCTTGAAAATGGTCTTAATACAGAGCCCTTCTAAAAGAGGGATACTTTTAGAAGGATACTAAATACTGGATACTCTAATAACATTTAAAGCAGGGATGTCCAATCTTTTGGCTTCCCTGGGCCACATGGGAAGAAGAAGAATTGTCTTGGGCCACACATAAAATACACTAATAATAGTTGATGAGCTAAAAAAAAAAATCTCATAATGTTTTAAGAAAATTTACAAATTTGTGTTGGGCTACATTCAAAGCCATCCTGGGGCCTGTGGGCCATGGGTTGGACAAGTTTGATTTAGAAAAAGGAATAAAGAAAAACATTGCAGTAGCTCAGTTTCTTTCAAGTGAAGAAGAAAAATGATGTAAAACTAATATGTAGGCTAAAATGTTTGGTAATTAGTGTCAAAAATTACCAAGATTATTAGTACATGTTTTGGTAATCACTAATGGCAGGATTAATTTTTTGTGCAAAATATATATTAATAGAAGAGAAAAATTATTTCAGCCTCTAATAGAAGAAAACAGCAAGAGAAGCAGCTAAAGAACAATTAAAAGTTAGGGAAGTTTACTAGCTTTAGAATACAATACACTTCAATTACAGAAATACTTCTTTTTAAAACTACAGTGTTTTAATGTACTTTTAGTAATAACCCAATCTAAGGAGTGTGGGAGGCTTGTGAAAAACTCCACCAAGGTGCTACATTTCTAGTGTGGGGTGAATTAATACTTCTGTAAAAAGGAAAGAACTGAGTCACCTCAGCATTTTTTGTTTAAATAGTAACTCATAATCCGATGATGTATTTTTCTTCACTAGTTCAAATTTAGGCAGGAAAGGGACTAAGCTAACTGGTCGGACCCAGAAACACAATTATTTGGCAAGTCACAGTCACTTAGCTCATGGATGTGTAATAATCTGCAGAAAAGCTGCTGAACTCTTGTCTGTTCCTTCACATCTGTAGAGGAGTTTGATATAATCACTTCTCTTTCTCGATTTTAAGCTTCATACAGGCAAAGAGATCACAAAATGTAGGGTAGCCATCATGGTCTTGGGGGAAGTTATGTTCCTCCTGTAGGGGTGGATTAAGTAATACTTCCTGGCCCTTCTTCCGAAGTAGCCACTTGTCTTCTCCAGAGGATCACTGGCTGAGGGTGCCCATCTTCTTTCCTGGCAGGATCCAGTCAGCTGTATTAAAGGGACACCAGGAAGTGATTGTGGGGCTTTTAAGCTTTTGTTGGCCAGCCCTGTCCTCAGTACTAGGCACTTCCTTGGGAATTCCTTCCTTATATGGGGGCTGGATTAGCCACTCTGACAAGGGACTGTTGTTTATGACTTGAATCAGCAATTCTAGAAGGAGCCGTTGCCTTTGATGCCTTAGCTTGTTCTTTTCTTGAAGGACAGGACCACATATTCAGGGAATCTTGATGCTTCTCAGGCTCAGGTTTGGTTTCCTCAGGCATCCCATTATTTTGTCTATCTTTCTTTAGAAGCCACTTACACAGAGCTTCCTTCTCAATTCTCATCATACACTCTGCAAAACTTCTGCAGGGCTCATTGGCTGTGCATATGTCCTCTACTTTATATGGGTCCTGATGGTTCTGGACAAGTCAATCCTCAGAAACGATGCTGAGGGTAGAAAATAGTTTCTTGGCTTCCAAGTAGTCATTCAGGCACTTCACATTGCCCAGGTTTTTCAAAATCTCTACACTATTGGGCTGGTTGACCCAACAGTTGATATAGGAGTTGGTTTTGACAAGCCAATCATTCACATTGTAGGAATGGAACAAGAATTTAAACTTCTCACTGGTTTCATAACTGCCATTCTCAGGCTTCTCCAACTTACAGGATTCCTGGGGAATCACCAGCCACTAGATAGATCATCTCACCTTGATCAGAAAGCTCTAGATCTTCCACCTTTTCAATTAAATGGAGAAAGAACTGGTAGTAAAATGGCTGTCACTTTGGATAACTTGGTTTTTCTGGAACTTCTTGTTGCTGACTCTTGAGGAGCAAGTTTTCAAAGCCCTTTAGGTTGCCTGAGACATTACTGAAGAAACTGCAGGCTCTGGAAGAAGTCTATTCTCCAACGTCTGCTTTTGGGTGAGCCAGTCGTGGGGGGTTGTTCCTGAAGACCACTGGTATGGTTGCTTCCAAGGAGCCATTCCCTGAGAGGGACATCTGTGATGCTGGATGCTGACTTCTGCTCTGGCATTAGGATATAGCCTCTCTTCTCCAGGAAGGGCCTGATACTTGATAAGCTAGCATGAGGCATGAAGTGTTTAGGAATTTGAATGGTCTTGAGAAACCCAAATGTGGTGATAGTCATGCAGAGCAGTTGTGTCTGCTTCAAACAGCAGGACAGTTGAATCTTCAAACTTAAGGGTCAAACTGCCCAGTCTCTCCAGGCACACAGAGACTTGGCTAGATCTTTGTTTTGGGTGCACTTCCGTTAATGAATAAGACCATTGAACTGGCCCAATAACCAGTAGAGCTGCTGGGCCTGTGGCTGAAGTGTCTCCTCTTTAAGCTGATAGATGAGGTCTACCTGTTCATACAGCCACCTCACAGTTCGTAAGGCATTCTAGGTGACAGCTTATACAACTCTGAATCTGAGTTTTGACTTCTCACAAGTTATCTTTAATTTGCTGTTTGGCCCAGGGAACTCCACCAATAGCAAGCTCCAAGTCCTTCCATGCATTACTACATCTCAAAAGGGGTTCTCTATTACTGGAGTAGCCACTCTGGTCATGTGAGGTATTCATTCTGCTCACTGCTCCAGCTCCCAATCCCTCTCCGGGTGATCCAGGGGACTTTGGGTGGACAGAGACACAGCCCCACACAAAACTCCTGAGGAGTCTTTTTAAAGGGAATCTTTTCAACTGACTGGAACCTTTTTGCTTCCTCCTTTATTCTTTACATAGAACTGTATTACCTACTATTGCTCTGACTCCAAGTAAGGAGTCTTGCAACAATCAGCCACATGAGGAACACAATTCTCCTACTCTGAAGACACAGCAACAAGGGTGCCAGCTTGAACCAGAGAATAAATCTGCTGATGTCTTGATCTTGGCTTCCCAGCCACCAGACTGTGAGATAAATTCCTGTTCTTTAAATTACACAGTCTCAGGTATTCTGTTATAGCGGCACAAAATGGACAAAGACAGACTTGTATCCTACCCACAATATGTAAAGAACTCTCAAAATTCAATAATGAAGACACAATTTTAAAATGGGCAAAGATTTGAACAGACACAAGATATATCAATGGCAAATAAGCTTAACAACGTGTCATTATAGAACTGCAAATTAAAACCCAAGTAAGGTACCACATCACCCCTATTACCATGGCTAAAATTAAATAGACGTACCAAGTGTTGATAAGAATGTGGAAGAACTAGAACTCTTATATACAGTTGGTGGGAATTTAAATGGTTTGACCACTTTGGAAAACTGTTAGGCAGTTTCTTAAAAAGAAGTATCTACCATATGATCCTGCTATTCTACTCTTAGGAATTTACCCAAGAGAAATAAAAGCGTATGTCCATGCAAGGATTACATACAAATGTTCATAGCAGCTTTATTTATAATAGCCAGAAGTGGAAAACAACTCAAATGTCCATCAATAGGTGAATACATAAATAAATCGTGGTCTGTCCATACTATAGAATAATATTCAGCAATAAAAAGGAATGGACTGTTGACACAACAACATGCAGGAATCTCAAAATAATTATACTGGGTGAAGGAAGTTAATGATTATATCCTGTATGATTCATTTATATAAAATGCCAGACAATGCAAGGTAAAGTATAGTGACAGAAAGCAGATCAGTGGTTGCCTGGGAAATGGGATGGGGGTGAGGAGGGACAGGAGGGAAGGATTACAGAATGGCACAAGGAAGCTTTGGGGGATGATGGATATGTTCATTATTTCAATGGTGAGAATGGTTTCACGGGTATATACATAT
Source organism: Homo sapiens (assembly GCF_000001405.40). NCBI lineage: Eukaryota > Metazoa > Chordata > Mammalia > Primates > Hominidae > Homo > Homo sapiens. The sequence goes on from NC_000004.12 coordinate 88,511,609, forward strand.
CCCAGAATTTGTCGAATTACACACTTTAAATGTGTGTAATTTATTGTATGCCTCATATCTCAATAAAGCTGTTTTTAAATTCCAAAGAGAGATGATCTTTCTTATTTGTCTACCTTGAGTCTCATACCCATTCCATGGCCAGGAAAGGCTAAGATGATTGGCAGTTCCCCTAGAATTGCATCCGATGGAGAAACAAATTGAGGAGCTATTCTAAAGAAACAGTTCTAGTACAAGCAGCAACTATAAAATTCTAATATGCCTTGGGAAATCTGTCACTGTACACTTTTTGAGTACATAAATGAACAGGTATTTCATTTTGTGTGTGTGTGTGTGTGTGTGTGTGTGCCAAGATGGCAAGCTGTTTGCCTGGGGACAGAATTTAGGGCAACTTTGAGATGAAAGATAATTTGCCTCCGTCCCTAAGTCACAAGGATGACTTTTTAAGGAGTTACCTTGGCTCATAGTTTTGTAAGAGATGCTTACGGCGCAGGAGAAACAAGAGAGGAACAAGTTTTTGAAACTGGTTAAAGACAATGGTCTGTTAAGAGGGTACAAGAGTCCAATTATGATTAATAAAATAAGATATTCAAGGCCAACCTATAAAACATGCAACCTGAAAGTATTTGAAGGATAGCTCACAATAGGTAGAAAATGAACAGTGTCTTTCATTTGCTAACACAATAAAACAAATTAATAATAAGACAAGATACAAATTCAACACCAGTGAGTAAATGTTTTCCTCTGTTATGAAGTGGTATTTATATTCTCAAGCAGAGAGAAAATGGGATAAAATAAAATCTATCTTATTTAATATATATTTTTAAATGTGTGCTAAATTATGTTTGTTATAGAAGAAAGAGCAATAGTTGTACCTGGTGTGTGATGTCCACCCATTAGACCTAACTTGATAGAGTGGGGTCTACCTCTGGAATTTCCTACTCTTTTTTTTTTTTTTAGATGGAGTTTCACTCCGTTGCCCAGGCTGGAATGCAGTGGCGCGATCTCAGCTCACTGCAACCTCTGCCTCCTGGGTTCAAGCGATTCTCCTGCCTCAGCCTCCCGAGTAGCTGGGACTACAGGCACGTGCCACCACGCCCGGCTAATTTTTTTTATTTTTAGTAGAGATGGGGTTTCACCGTGTTAGCCAGGGTGGTCTTGATCTCCAGACCTCGTGATCCACCCACCTTGGCCTCCCAAAGTGCTGGGATTACAGGGGTGAGCCACCGCGCCAGGCCTGGAATTTCCTACTTGTTAGCCATCTATAAACCCACTTCTATCACCCTTTGTTTCTTTCTCCCTCCCTGTCTCTGAGGAGAGGTGTCTGATTGCATTCCTTTCCGCCTCCAAGACCTCCATCATTTCTCCATGCTTTCCTATATCTTTGTTTTTTTGTTTTGTTTTGGTTTTTTTGTTTTTGTTTTTTTTTTTTTGAGACAGAGCCTCGCTCTATTGCCCAGGCTGGAATGCAGTAGTGCGATGCTGGCTCACCACAACCTCTGCCTCCCCACAACCTCTGCTTCCTGGGTTCAAGCGATTCTCATGCCTCAGCCTCCCAAGTAGCTGGAATTACAGGCATGCACACCACACCCAGCTAATTTTTATATTTTTGGTAGAGACAGTGTTTGGCCATGTTGCCCAAGCTGGTCTCAACTCCTGGCCTCAGGTGATCCACCAACCTTGGCCTCCCAAAGTGCTGGGATTACAGGCGTGAGCCACTATGCCCAGCCAGCTTTCCTGTATCTTCTAATCTTCAATTGCTTCACCACAGGCTCTTCCATATCCACATTTCTGCCATTAAGATAATACATTTTAGAATTTTCCTCTTCATTATATAATCCCCCTTTTCCTTCTTCCTGTTCTTTTTCCTAAAAATCTGCAATTAGGAAATTCCTGCCTTAATCTCTCCATGACACTGTGATCTGCCCTCCAGTCCCCCACTTCTCCCACTCAGACTGCTCCAGTAAATGTCACAGATGACTTTTTTTGTTGTAAAAATCAACAGAAACTTGTTATTTCCATCTTAAATCATTTCTACTGCATTTGAAACTGTTGACTACTTTCTCCTTGAAACGAGACTGTTGCTCTCCTTTTCTTGACTTATTTTCCATTTCCTTTGTATCCTTACACCCCCAACCCCTGGACTCCTGATCAAGTCTCTGGCTTCAGTTATTACTGGGCCCGCGGCTAACGTGTCTCCTCTTTAAGCTGATAGATGAGGTCTACCTGTGATACCTGGAGCTATACCTCTGACCTAAAGGAATTCATATATTCCAGCACGATAGCCATTTTTCTATATAGTCTATGTCACTACCTGCATGCCCCTTGGCTCTGTAATCTGAACATTTGCAAGGAGAAAGTTGTCATTTTTTATTCCAAAAATGTTTTTCCATATTTCACAGCTTGGAGTGATCCCACCAATATCTTCAAGAAGAAGCCTACAGTTATCTTCCATTTCTCCCTCTCTTTTACCACATTCCACATGCAAGTCAAGTTCTAATAATTTTAGTTTTAACATCTCTGTAACCCCACTACTGCCAGTGCACTAAGCTCAAGATCATCATCTACTGGCTGGGTGCAGTGGCTCACACCTGTAATCCCAGCACTTTGGGAGGTCGAGGCAGGTGGGTCACCCGAGGTCAGGAGTTCGAGACCAGCGTGGCCAACATGGTGAAACCCTGTCTACCAAAAATACAATAATTAGCTGGGTACGGTGGCAGGTGCCTGTAATCCCAGCTACTCGGGAGGCTGAGGCAGGAGAATTGCTTGAACTCGAGAGGTGGAGGTTGCAGTGAGCTGAGATTGTGCCATTGCACTCCAGCCTGGGCGAGAGAGCAAGACTCAGTCTCAAAAAAAAAAAAAAAAAAAATCTCTTGTCCCATCACTTTATTAGCCTCTCAACATTCTCCTTGTATCTAGACCAACACTGCCCAACAGAGCTTCCTGTGAAGCTGGAAATCTGTATCTGCACTATCCAATAAGTTGGACTCCTCTGTAGGTAAGGCTTTGTCTTTGAAGAATTTTGAAAAGTAAACACATTCATTGGCAGCAGTGGGAAAAACAGTCTAGAACTGTGCCATCCTATATTGGCTCTTTAATAAAAATTCAATAAATGTAAAAGATTCTCAGTCACATTAGTCACATTTCTAGTACTCAATATCTACATGTGACAAGTGTTTACTGTACTGTAAGTATGAACACTTGCCACAGCAGGGATCTGTAACATACAAACCCTCTGGAATGCTGCACGTGCTTTTTTTTCTTTTTCCTTTTTTATGGGAAAAAGAGCCATAGTGTTTATCAGCTGCACAAATCCAAACAATTTAAAAGTCAGGTAATAAATTCCGATTTCACTGACACTGACTATTATTACAGCTCCCGAATCCCTCTTGATGTGCCCTGTGTACAGTTCCAGCCTCATCTCCCACTGTTTGGGCGATTTTCTTATTGTGCAAACATCACAGAGTATACTTACGCGCTGTGTTTGTAAGTACACTCTGTGATGTTTGCACAATGCTACAAACCTGTACAGCATGTGTACTGTTCTGAACACTGTAGGCAATTGTAACACAATGGTCAATATTTGTATATCTAAAAATAGAAAAGGTACAGTAAAAATATGATATAAAAGATAAAAAATGGTACTTACCATGAATGGAGTTTGCAGGACTGGAAGTGGCTCTAAGTCAGTGAGTAAGTGGTGAATGAATGTGAAGGCTTAGGACATTACACCACTGTAGACTTTATAAACACTGTACTCTTAGGCTACACTAAATTTATTTTAAAAATAAAGCAATTCCTTTACAACATTATGACAGCTATGACGCTACTAGGCAACAGGAATTTTTAGCTCCTAATATAATCTTATGGGACTACCGTTGTATATGTGGTCTGTTGTTACTGGAAACATCATTAAGCAGCCCATGATTCTATTTCAGTTTCTTGAATGGGCCCAGTCTCTTATTCTGTGTTTTCACACATGCTTTTTCTTTTGCCTGGAACCCTCTTCCCATTGCACCACTATCTCTCCCTGTTCCTCACCTCCTCGCTTCAATTCTGCCTCCTCCTCTGTCTTGGTTATTCCTATTCATTTTTCAGGATTCACGTCGGCTGTCATGGCATTCTGCTGGATGCTACCTAGCTCTGCATTTCAGCAGTGCACTTGTCTTTCTGCTTCCTTCTGAGGGATCAATTGCCAGTGGTCCCATGAGTTAACCAAAAGTGCCATCTAGTGGCAAATGCGGAAGACAACACTCGCTTCCAAATGGAGCATTTCACTAAGAGGGACAAAACTTGGAATAGTGGACAGGCTTTCTCCACCACTACACACAGTAGGGAGAATCTACCGTGGCTCTTGGCTCTTCTAGATAGTTTTACATTTTCTACCTAATTTAAAACTCTCCCTTGGTCTGGAAGTAGGTATCATAATTTTCATCTTACAGATGCAGTCTCAAGTTCAGAGGGGCCTCCTTAAAATCCCCTTCTTTGGGCCGGGCACGGTGGCTCACGCCTGTAATCCCAGCACTTTGGGAGGCCGAGGCGGGCGGATCACGAGGTCAGGAGATCTAGACCATCCTGGCTAACACGGTGAAACCCCGTCTCTACTAAAAATACACGCCTGTAATCCCAGCACTTTGCGAGGCCAAGGCGGGCGGATCACAAGGTCAGGAGATTGAGACCATCCTGCCTAACACGGTGAAACTCCATCTTTACTAAAAAATACAAAAAATTGGCCGGGCGTGGTGGCGGGCGCCTGTAGTCCCAGCTACTCAGGAGGCTGAGGAAGGAGAATGGCGTGAACCCAGGAGGCAGAGCTTGCAGTGAGCCGAGATTGCGCCGCTGAACTCCAGCCTGGGCGACAGAGCGAGACTACGTCTCAAAAAAAAAAAAAAAAAAAAAAAAAAAAAAAAAAATCCCCTTCTTTGCAGGATTGGCTGCAAATAAAGAAGGACAGTAGGTCACAATAGGCCAGGTTTTGCTCCCTCAGGATGGGAATTTCTCATTTAGAGCTGGTGGGAAGGATCTCATTAACGTGGTTAAAGATGATTTGTCAGTGATGCAGCTGAGGACACTTAAAAAGAGAATCTTGTTAAGAGTCTCTAAGGAAGCAGTAGGTCCCCTGGCATTGTGAAGTCAGCGGATTATTGAGAAGGAGGAGGAGTGGGGAAGAGTTTCATTAATGTAGGAATAAGGCAGTGTTCCTCATGGTGGGTTTACAGTGTAACAAATGGAAGTGTTGGGGTCAAAGCCATGGCGTGCAGCATGAGGTACGTAATGGGCAGCTTGTGTCCCTGTGAACAGATATGAAGCCAGGATGATTTGCTAGTGAGAAGCTTGGGAAGGAACACTAGAAACCTGTTGAATTCCCAATACAGGGTGTCATATTTCATAGGGTCACTAGAAGTAGCACAATGGGTGGACAAAATTTAGAAGGCGTAAGACCTGCATTCACTTTTGGCCATGCCTCTAACCAGCATCTGACCTCCAGCAAGTGACCTGGAACCACTGAGCCTTAGGCTGGACACTGAGATACTGCTTTTTTAATTTTCCTCTAACAACTTTATTGAGATATAATTCACATAGCATGTAACTCAGCCATATATAGTGTACAACTCAATGGTTTTTAGTATCTTCACAGAATTGTGCAAGCATCACCATAGTCAATTTTTCTGTTTGGGGTTTTTCTTGTTTTTTTTTTTGAGACAGGGTCTTGCTCGGTTGCCCAGGCTGGAGTGCAGTGGCATGATCATGGCTCACCACATCCTTGACCTCCTGGGCTGGATTCTCCCACCTCAGCCTCCTGAGTAGCTGGGACCACAGGCACATACCACCATGCCCAGCTAATTTTTTTTTTTTTTAGATTTTTAGTTTTTTGTAGAGACAGGGTCTCCCTATGTTGCCCAGGCTGGTCTCGAACTCCCGGGCTCAAGTGATCCTCCCAGCTTGGCCTCCCAAATTGCCACCATAGTCCATTTTAGAACATTTTTATCACCCCAAAGAGAAACCTTGTACCCTTTAGCCAAAACTGCACAATCTCCCCCTTCTTCTCCAGCTCTATGCAGCTACTAATCTACTGTCTGTCTGTAGAGATTGACTATTATGGACATTTCAAATAAATGAAATTAGACTATGTGACCTTTCGTAACTGGCTTCTATGACTTAGCATGATGTTTGCAAGGTTCATCCATAGTCTAGCATATATCAGTACTTTATCACTTTATATTGCCAAATATTATTTCATTATATTCATATCACATTTTATCTATCTATTCATCAGTTTATGGACGTTTGGGTTGTTTCTACTTTTTGGCTATCCTAAATGATGCTGCTATGAACATTTGCATACAAGCTGTCGTGAATACTTAAGTTCTCACTTCTCTTGAGTATATACCTGGGAGTAAAATTGCTGCGTCATGTGGCAACTCTACATTTGACCTTTTGTGGTCTTGCTGTTTTCCAAAGAAGCTGCAACATTTTATATTCTCACCAGCAGTGTATGAAGGCTTAAGAGGTCTTTTAAAACTGCTGATCTGTTCATAAAAGTGTCAATAAGAGGCTGGGCATGGTGGCTCACTCCTGTAATTCTAGCACTTTGGGAGGCAGAGGAGGGTGGATCACTTGAGATCAGGAGTTCAGGACCAGCCTGGCCAACATGGTGAAACCTCGTCTCTACTAAAAACACAAAAATTAGCCAGGCATGGTGGTGCACCCCTGTAATCCCAGCTACTGGGGAGGCTGAGACAGGAGAATCACTTGAACCCAGGAGGCGGAGGTTGCAGCGAGCAGAGATCGTGCCACTGCACTCCAGCCTGGGTGAGAGTGAGACTCTGTCTCAAACAACAGCAACAACAAAAAAGTGTCGATAAGATATAGAAGCATTACTTTTATCTAGCCACATATCAAGTGCTCAATTCCTTTTTTCCTCTTGCTGTGCTATTGTTATGTAATCACATCTGTATGTTACAAACTCAATACTTAGTTATAATTATTTTATATAATCTGATGTATCTTAAACTGAGAAAAGGACAGCAAGTATATATTTATAGCATTCATTACATTATTTATCTCTTATGGTTCTCTTCATGTATTTTTATGAATTCAAGTTACTATCTGGTATCATTTTCATACTGCAAATACAGCTTTGCTTACCTCCATTTCCTTTGTGATGTTAATGCTAAATATGTTATATATGTTACAGGCTCCCAAATACAATGCATCTTGCATAAACATGGTTTTTTTATATAATTGCCCTATAAATAAGAATGACAAAACACGCATTTATACTGTCTTTTATAATTACATAATTACCTTTACTATGCTGATGGCCTATGCCTCCGAGGAGGTACCATAACCCTCAACTAGGAGCTGGGGGAAGAGCGAGCCCCGTGTTCTTGATTACACTCTCCTGGAGTGGCCATCGCCAAACAGAGGGAGCAGAAAACAAGTGGTTGGTGGGTCAGATGACAAAAACTTGCTGTTCTTATTAAGTTTCAGTAGGTTTCCTTGAATGTTTCTTCATTTAATGAGCTGTATGCCTTTAGGACAATTTCCAGACCATTTAAATGGTTGTTTTGTTTATAATTTTCACTAGTTAGGCTTGTTTCCCTGGTGAATGGGTCCACAAAGTTCCTCACGTGGTCTCTAGAAGTATCACTTAGTTCTTTACAAAGTACCCTCGCAGGTAAAATTTTATTTCATCCTCACCATTTTATGAAACAAGGGTAAGGACTTTTTAGCCCTAAAAATGAGGCCCAGAATGCTAAGTAACTGGCTGAAGTTATAAGGCTTCTCAGAGCCATGTGTTCACTCAGGAGGCACTTAGTGCCTGCTCTGTGCTAAACATTAGATTTAAAATGTTCAGCATTTACTGTATAGACAGGAGACAAAAACCAGACAATTGCAGCACAAGGTTAAGTGCTAGAATAAAGCATACGGTGCCTTAAGCAATAAGAAGGGTACTGGCTGGGTGCGGTGGCTCACTCCTGTAATCCCAGCACTTTGGGAGGCCGAGGCGGGTGGATCGCTTGAGCCCAGGAGTTGAGACCAGCCTGGACAACATGGTGAAACCCCATCTCTACAAAAAAATACAAAAAAAAAATTAGCCAGGCATGGTGGCACATGACTGTAGTCCCAGCTACTTGGGAGGCTGAGGTGGGAGAATCACTTGAACTCAGGAGGTGGAGGCTGCCGTGAGCCATGATCGTACCATGCCACTGCACTCCAGCCTGGGCAACAGAGTAAGACCCTGTCTCAAAAAAAAAAAAAGGAGGGGATTGGGTGGTCACCTAGTCCAATCTTGAATAAGAATTAGAAACTAAGCATTTTGATTTCTCTGTTTTTCTTGTAAATAGAAAGGACCAAATAGCCCAAAATAAAGTGGCACATGGCTTGGTAGTTAAGACTGAAGCCAGATGGCTAGATGGTTTACATTTCCATCCAATTATTAGCTATGTTACCTTGGGTAAGTCACTTAATCTCTCTGTGCTTGTTTCCTTATCTGTAAAATGGTGCCAATATTACCTACTCTTTAGGGTTATACGATTGAAGACACAGCACTGTGTTTATAATTGTACCTGGTATATGTTTATACTGTAACAACTGATTGCTAAATAAATTCTATTAGTGAGGGGATGGTGTTAAATACTAAACCCCCCCAGGGCATTCTTGTCAGTGTTTCCTGAAATAGTAAAACACTCAACTTCCAAATGCTGAAATTGAAATTGACTTCTTGAGATATAGTATGTACTTGTTTTTCAGAATTGTTTCCTTTTCCCTGACTTGGTTAAGTGTGAGATTTAGGGTTAATTGAAAAGAACAACTCTTCAGGAAATACCTGGGAACCTGTAGTCTTTCAGGTTATCTGTATGTTGCCATAGGGTAATTTTAACATGTTGTTTGTACTACAGTATACCTTGAATTCAAAAGAAAACACATCTAACATGTTTTAATTTTTTGATGCAGAAGAATCACTGTTTAAGGTTTCTGTTAACATAAGATTCCAATAAAAATAAAGTTTGTATTCAGTTCTTAGGTTTCTTTGGGTTAACTACTGAAACACACTATATTTCAGAAGTATTGTACTATGCTTGATTAGTCTTGTTGAAAGTTCTAGAAAATCAGGGGCCATTAACGTGTCAATGCTCATGCCCTTAGTGGTGTTATTCGGCATCCTGGGAAAATAAACTGAAATGTGGCTCAAATATGGCTCTAAGCTCAACAGGGTACAATCCACTACTTGCAAGTCTTCCCACCCCTCACTTTCCCAGGAAATGATTCTGTTTTGGGTATTAAGTACCTCTCTAAACACAACTACATTTAGTGCAGTTTTACAACTTCCCTTAGTATCATTAACACTTCTGTGACCAAACAAACAAACGACTACTGCAAACTGGTTTATTTTTTATAGGAAAGTGTCAACATGTTTATTGCTAATATAAGCATTTAATGTCAAAGAAATGAAGGTAATTTTACAAACTCAGTTTTTGTAAGTACATGAAGTTTCTATTTGATTATGTGGTTTTATATCACATTCGTTCAAATGCATTTCTCTCCCTTAGAGGGACTATTCCAACATCACTCCTTTGGAATTATTTCAGTCATCCTTAACATGTGACTTTACCAAAGACCTTGAAGCTAAACAAACAAGCAAAACAAAATTTCAATGACTCTTAGATGAATGGAATAAGAAATAGTCATCACATGTCAATTAGGGATGTTCATCTCCAACCAAGACACTGTCAAAATGTTTCTTCTGATACAGCAGTTATAAGTCAGAGCCTTCAAAAAACAAGGGCAGAACAAGAGTACAATAAAAGAAGCATCTGCAACTTAAGCCTCCCACAGTCCTAAGCCTGATATGCGCAAAGCAAAGCCTCTTTCCCGCAAACTAAATTCCATCCATTTGAGCTTTCAGAGATCGATGCCCAAGAGCTATCATTAATATATACAGCATATTGACTCTAGTTGCATCAATTATGCCTGAAGAGTTTAATACCCATCCAAGTCCAAAGGTGGAAGAATACATACACTGGTATGGTAATAGGCAAGAGCAGGCTGTAAAAGCAAAGGCTGGCTGTGCTAGTGCAGCCCTGTGGGAAGTTTTCTTCCACAGAGGCTGAGTAGAACAGTCCTGCTAAAGAAACCAGTGGAATAAGAACAGTCAACGTAGGAAGAGACAGAAACATTCTTCTCTTCCACTTATTACCTGCCACTGTGTTTTAAAAGGTATATGGTATTAAGAAAAGTTGGCTGTTGCGTTTTTTTAATTTTTTTAAATTATGAACTAGCGCTGCTCCACTTCTTCTTGCTTCTTACTTTGACGTGTCATCCTAGCTGCCTGTGGTATCATATTAGGGATCCCATCAATGATTGGATAAGCTATTCCCAACTCTTCATTAATCAATTCGTTTGTTGATGCTTCATATCTGAGGTGGAAAAAAAAAGAACAAAATGAGTTGTGGGAAAATAAAATGCTTGAAGAGCCTGATTTTCAACAAATACCACCATTTATCCAATTTTTGGTACGGAGTTAATCCCAGAATAGTCTTCTTTAATTCTAAAAGCAACAATAGCCAATTCAACCTTTTATCTTAGAAAAATTCTCTTACAATCTATAATTATTCCCATTTTAGTAGTTTCTCTCATATTCTCTTTTTCACCTTATTCACAAGTTATTCCTTAATTTTTTTTCATACTAGTCAGAAAAGATCCCCCTCTCTTATCCAAATATTCCTTCATTACTTTGGTCAACCCCCAAACCATCCCTGTTAATTTACTACTGGAATAAACACTAGAGAAAAATCAACTTCTTCATTTTAGAATAAATGCTAAGTAGAGAAACTTAACTAATCCATTAGAAGGAAATCACTGGAAAAGGTGAGAGGGCAGAAATGAAGAAACTTTCGAAAGCACTAAGTCTGCAGTGAGCTAGTTATAAACGTAAATCAAATGATAATTTCAAGGTTCGAGAAAATTGAATAATATGTTTATTACGGGAAAAAGAAATACGAAAAATTGCTAGCAATCTACCATTCAAAGATAACCACTGATAACATTTTGGTGTTTATGCGATTTGTAATACTAGCGTTAGTGTTGTCAATATTCAATTTTGGTAGCTTGGAAACTGTAGAGCTGTCTTCCCAAAAACTAGTTAAAGAGGCTTCTACGAAACCTGCTAGGCCACAACTAAGAGCCACTGGGCAGCAAACACAGCTGAATTGCTTAAGATTGTCAGGCACCAGTTGTACAAGACACTTTCACAAGAATCTGGAGGGTACAACAATACTTTTCATTATCTTGGCTTAAAAACCGGAAGGCTTCGGACTTGTCCTGAATCGCAGTGGTTCATAAACCTGGTGGTACATTAGAAATCATTTAGGGACCGTTTAAGAACACAGATAAGCTGGGCGTGGGGGCGGCGCCTGTCTCTCGACTCCTGAGGAGGCTGAGGCGGGAGTTCTAGGCCAGTCTGGGCAACGTAGGGGGCACCCTGTCTCTTAAAAGGAAAAAAAAAAAGGAAAAGAAAATACAAATGTTCAGGTCCCATCCCGCGAGCATTCCAAGTCTGCCCGTCTTGGGGGCTGTCGGGGAATCGGCATTTTTAAAACGGTCCCCGGGTGATTGCAATGCGCAGCCGGTCGCGAACCCTAAAACGCTTCGAGCCATTCCCGCAGGCTGGCGTTGCGTTCTGGGAGATGTGGGACGCAGCTCCCCTGGCCTCCGGTCTCCCCCGTCCTGCCCGCTGTGCGCCCGGCGAGGACAGAGTCCAGAATGTGGCAGCGGAGAGTACCTGACCGACCTACAAGGCCCCAGTGGCTGCAAGAGGCCGCGGTCCACCGCTCCCTTTCCGCCCACCGGGAGGCTGCAAAGGAAGGGCCAAGGCCAGCGAGTTACCTGAGCGGCTTCTTGGAGAGCGGGCACACCAGGAACTCCAGCAGCGCCGGATCGAAGTCGCGGGGCGGCTCCTCAGTCTTCTTGCCCCGGTCGGCCAAAGGCCGCGACCCCGACGCGTGCAGGCACCTACGGGCGACCGCGGACGGCGGCGCGCGCGTTCCCCGCAGCGCTGAGGCGAGCCTGCAGCGTGCTCCACTCAGCATGGTCTGGCAGCCGGAGACCAGGCCTCACCGCAGCCTCGCCACCCGTGGCCGAGCTCCCGGCTTCCCGTTCGTCCAGGCCAGCCGGGCAGGCCCCGCCCCCTGGTCCTCCAGGAAACGCTGCCGAGGAGTAGGCGGGGCGGGCGCTTTGGTTCCGAGGGTGCTTCTGCTCCGACTGCTTTTCCCACGGGCGTCATCTATAGTCCGGAGGACAGCCCCAGGGCAGAGGCCTCTGGTGAGTGCCCCGCCGCCTTACCAGACTACAAACTAAACCAGTGTTTAAGTCAAGGTGTCTGGGTTTTCACCGGGGCCTGTCCAAGGATGCTAGGAAGCCAGTGGCCAGGCCTCAGAGTTGTAGGGAGTTAGGCTTGGACCTACGTGGTTACCTCCAAGTGAAGTTTCAAACACACTGTTATGTATTGTACCGAATGTATTGTCATGGATGTATTGAAAGCGCTCATTTGTTTCATGTACATCTTTACTATACCATTAGTTTCTGTAACCTTGTTTGGCTTTTTTCTCTCTCATTAAAAAAAGTGAGAACCTGGAAGGAAGGGCCTAGGCCTCTGACCCTCCAAAATATATAAATTCTTCCTGCCTGAGACCCAGTCATTGTGAAGTATTTGCGTAATAAAGCACAGCTAATTTACTTCTATAAATGAGCTTGGAGGCCGCAAGGGGCCTAAATAGCTGTGTAACAGGCAGATGTGATCTGCCTGTTAAAGATCCATTCAATGAGTGGGTGATCCATTCAGTGAATTTGTATCCCAGGTTTGCTTCCCACTCTCCAAGAAAGTGACCATGTTAGATCTCTTTCTTACAGTGTAGTAGATGGGAACTTGGGCTCTGGGGCCTGACAGCTTGGTTCCCTGTCCACAATTAGTAGCTGGATGACTTTGGCAAATGACTTAACTGCTCATTTTCCTTATCTGTATAAGACTAATAATTGTACCTACCTTGTAGGTAGGGCATAAATGTGATTGTGCATTCGAAGAACATTTAGAAAAGTGCCTGGCACAAATTAATGCTCCATTAATGTTGTCTATTTTTATTTTTAGTTCATCTAGTTTTTCCATGTCCGAAGACTCAAAGATTCTCATTAGTCATCCATTTTTTCCCTCCGTTCTGCTGAATATCAACCTGAACTTTTTTTTTGCATCACTGGGCATTATCATTTCACACTTTGAGTTCCTGGAGCTGGAAGTACAGAATCCAAAAATATGTTTATATTTTCAAATTTCTCTTCCACTCCAATGTAAAAATAAACTGACAAATGTTTATATGTTCATCCTAATTTTTTGTTTGTTTTTTGGGCCATCCTGTTTTTTTTAAAAAAAACAGTTTATTTTTTGATGTTCTTTGTTCACTAATGCTCAGAAGATTTTCTAAGGTTAATGTAGTTTATAGGATACCAAAAAGGAAACACTTCTACTGGATAGATATTTAAGAGATAATGAAAGTCTCTGGTTGCCTCACCTTCCTTCCCTCACAAAGCAATCTTTCACAGTCATAACTTTCCGTTATTAGAGTTACTAACGGACTAGAGAATAGGGCAGTTATCGGGACATACCCTCAAGGGAAACTACTGTAAAGTTCCTATGTCACCTTCACACTATTTCCGACTAGGGCAGTAGCAGGAATTAATTTTTCAGTTGAAGTCAGTTGATACTTTGGGCTCAAGGGAAGGGGTGAGCTGTAGGAAAGATAAGTTTCTGCTTAAGGAGAAACAGCGCTTGACTTCTGCAAGCGCTGAGTGGGCCCAACCCTTGGCGCTTGTTGGGTAGGGGAAGGCACCCATGCTTAAGCCTCAGCTAGCTTGGCTGACAGATCTCTATCAACTGGGTTTTCTAACCAGTTATAAATAAATTAGTTTCAGTTTGCCTCCACATAGAGGGTTTGAGGCAGTTCAGTTTACTTTATTTAGGGGAAGAATAGAGAGTAACAGCAAAGTATTGAAAACATCCTCAAATTTATAACACCAGAAATCAACAACCAATATTTAAGGAACATATGAATGTATGACTATCACCATGTGTGTATTAAGTTGCAACATATCAAAGCAATATGTCCCTAAATAGCCCTTAGTAATGAAGAAATACAATTCATTTCTGCCTGTAGTATACTAAGCTAAATGTAGATGATAGGATAGGATCATGGGACTGGAACTGGTCTTTTAAAAGTTAGTCCCTTTTCACTATTCACATGACTGACCTTTCGTGTCACATAGGCCTGTGCACAATAACCTGATGGTTTCTGGGCTCAGATACAATATAGCTGTGTGATCTTGGAGAAGCTACTTAAGTTCTCACCCTCAACCTTCTCACTTGTGAAATACAATAATAATAGTATGTAACTTACAGTGTTTGAACAGACTAAATAAAACAATTCAAGTAAAACAGCACAGGGGCTAACACATTTAAAGAATGTTTAGCAATAAAATTATTTATTATGGTGAAACTAGTAAACATTCTGATGGAAAGGGAAAGCACAAGGTACTTCTGGGACACTCTTTTTAACTGAAATGGAATTTTTCTAATTTCCAATATGGATACTATTGAAACACAATTCTTGGATTATCACACACATGAAGTTAGAAATCTCTAGGCAGAAGAGGGGCTGGACTATGTATTTTAACAGAGCCTGTCAATTCCAAATTTGGGGGCATTGAAATTTGTGAACCTGCAATCCAAAGAAATGAGTCAAAATAAATTTTCCACTAGATGGCATCATTTAGTATTTGAACTAACATTTATCTCTGCTTGATCTTTTCTTTCTGTGATTACAAAGACTTACTTTCATTTTGCCAATTGTTTCTTAGTTTGACAACACTTATTTTTTATTTTTATTTTATTTTCTTGAGACAGATTCTCTCTGTGTCATCCAGGCTGGAGTACAGTGGTGCAGTCGTGACTCACTGCAGCCTTGACCTCCCAGACTCAAGCAATCCTGGCATGTCAGCCTCCAGGTAGCTGGGAATACAGGTGCATGCCACCACACCCAGCTAATTTTTGTATTTTTTGTAGAGATGGTGTTTCATGTTGCCCAGGCTGGTCTGGAACTCCTGAGCTCAAGCAGTCCACCCACCTTGGCCTCCCAAAGTGCTAGGATTACAGGCATAAGCCACTGTGCCCAGCCCAACATTTATTTTAAAAACAAAAATCATAAAAGTCCTATTAATAAATTTTAATGATGAGTTTATTAAAATCAAGTTTCCAATAGATAAATGGACAAAATATTTGAAAAGAAAAATTCGCAAAAAAGAAAATACAGTTGGTCAATAAACATATTAAAAAATTATCCTCAATAGTAAAGTAGTAATGCTAGTTTCAAACATCAAAGGAGTTTTGAAATAACTCTAGACATGAATGTTACCAGCCTTGTTTTGGCCATCTGAAGGATAATCACAAATTCTGTCTGAAGGGCTGAGGACTAGTGCCTGCAAAAGGACCAGAATATCCCAGCATGGGCACAAGTAGCTTGAAATTATGGAAGTATGTCCTGTCTTTCTTTCTTTTCTTTCTTTCTTTCTTACTCTCTCTCACTTTCTCTCTTTCTTTCTTTTTTTTTTTTTTGAGACAGGATCTTGCTCTATCTCCCAGGCTGGAGTGCAGTGGCTCCATCATAGCTGACTGCAGCCTTCACCTTCTGAGCTCAAACAATCCTCCCACCTCAGCTTCCTGAGTAGCTGGGACCATAGGCACACACATGCACCACCACACCTGGCTAATTTCTAAAATTTTTTTTGTAAAGTCAGGGTCTCACTATGTTGCCCAGGCTGGTCTTGAACTCCTGGGCTCAAGTGATCCTCCCGCCTCAGCCTCCCAAAGTCCTGGGATTACAGGCGTGAGCTACCACGCACAGCCCAACTTGCTCTTTTGGTTCTGTGGCTGCTGCAGTTATGGGGATGTACCCGCTGATCCACAACAGTTTGGGAGTGCTCTTCCATAAGCTCCCCTCCCTCATGCCGGGCAATGTGCTTGTCATCGTGGTCTCCATTATCACGGTGGTTGCCTTCCTGGGCTGCATAGGTTCTGTCAAGAAAAACAGGTGCCTGCTTATGTCCTTGTTCATTCTGCTGCCGGTTATCCTCCTTGCTGAGGTGATCTTGGCCATCCTGCACTTTGTTTACGAACGGAAGCTGAATGTATAGGTAGCTGAGGGCCTGACGGACAGCATCTACCATTACCACTGGGACAACAGCACCAAGGCGATGTGGGACTCCATCCAGTCATTTCTGCACTGCTGTGGCGTAAATGGCATGAGTGATTGGTCCAGCGGATAGCAAGCATCTTGCCCCTCAGATCCAAAAGTGAAAGGTTGCTATGCAAAAGCGAGACTGTAGTTTCACGCCAATTTCCTGTATATCAGAATCATCACCATCTGTGTATATGTGCAATCCAGGTGGTGAGGATGTCCTTTGCACTGACCCCAAACAGCCAGATTGATAAAACCAGTCAGGCCCTGGGGGTGTGACCTGCAACTGCCCTGTGCTGGGGAGACTCGTTTCATCTTTGGAAATCCAAAACCATTTATAGCACGAAGTTCTAAATGGTCACCTGCTGGACTGCCTGTCCTCCTCCCAACCCTTTGCTTTTTGGGTCGCTGTCTTATACAGCCAGAAAATAAGGTGTTGGCTAGGGACTTTCCATCTCAGGCAGCAAGACAACCTTTCACCTACTGATGGCAGCAGCCACGTCTCTCAAGGTGGTAACAGTAATACTTGGACATTTTTTTAGACATGAAAGGCCAAGAGAAACTGTGGAACTAATGGCTCAAGATCAAAGAGTGGGCCCAGGATATGAAGTTTTTAACCTTCCCATTGTCAAATTAGTCTCTGGCCTCTGTGTCATGCCCAGTCTGCTCTCCAAAGTCAAGCAAGAGACAAGCTGAAGAGGGTCCTAGGTCCAGGCTCATGGGACCATTGTCACAACCCTGTTTCTCTTTGACGAAGAGTGGTGGCTATAGGAATTACAGAGTGCTCTTTCTCCAAAGGGCAAGGTTTCATTTCCATTTCTTTATTAAGGGCCTCATCAATTTATTCTGTCTTTCCACAAAAAATTATCCAGTGATTTATATCCTGACTTCAACCAGTTACTTAGTTGATAATCACATGCACAAGACTTCCGGTGTTATTTCTCTATCAGCTAAGGTTTTGTTAATTTACTATTTTGCTCTTCGATAAATAAAAGTGATCTTAATTTTTTAAAAAATCAAAGAAGTTTCCATTTCTCATCTATCAAAATAGTAAATATTTTAAAAATGTAATTCTTAATGTTTATGAATAAATGAATAAAGTATTAATTTATTAATTTATTGAATGTCCACTATGTGGCAGGCATGCACCATTATTCAGATTTAAAAATAAAAACTCATAACAACACAGAAAATTATAATAAGTGAAAAACAAGCAGGACACAAAAATGTATGCACAATGATTATATTTTTAAACCCAGAACATCGGCATAGGGGCAAAAAACAAATAACAACCAAAATGTTGGTTGAGTGCTGTGGCTTACACCTGTAATCCTGCACGAGGCAGGAGGATTGCTTGAGGCCAGGAGTTCAAGACCAGACTGAGCAACTTAGCAAGACTCCATTTCTACAAAAAATAAAAAAGTTGGCTATGGCAGTGCCTGCAAGTACTAGCTACTCAGGAGGCTGAGGAAGGAGGATCACTTGGGCCTAGGAGTTCGAGGTTACAGTAAGGTATGATGGCACCACTGCACTCTAGCCTAGGAGACAGAGCAAGACCCTGTCTCTAAAAAATAAAAAAACAGGCCAGGCGCAGTGGCTCATACCCGTAATCCCAGCACTTTGGGAGGCCAAGGCCGGTGGATCACGAGGTCAGGAGTTCAAGACCAGCCTGGCCAAGATGGTGAAACCCCGTCTCTACTAAAAATAGAAAAATTAGCCAGGCGTGGTGGCAGGCGCCAGTAATCCCAGTTACTCGGGAGGCTGAGGCAGGAGAATCGCTTGAAACCAGATGGCAGAGGCTGCAGTGAGCTGAGATCACACCACTGCACTCTAGCCTGGGCAATAGAGAGAGACTATGTCTCAAAAAAAAAAAAAATGTTGGTTCTCTTTAGCTGGTTGAAATATTGCTGAATTGTTCTTTAAATGTTTCTCTGTTTAAAATTTTTTATTTAATAAAGTAGTTTTAAAATATAAACATTACCAGTTCATAATTGATAAAAGAATACTTTATTTCAAAACTATTGATTCGGTTCAGTAAATATTGATCACTTCCTGTGTTCTCAGATTATATTAGGAGGTGGAAAGGAGGGGTATAAAGGCATATAAGATGCTATTCCAGCTGAGTGTGGTGGCTCACGCCTGTAATCCAGCACTTTGGGAGGCTGAGGCAGGCGGATCACCTGAGGAGTTCAAGACCATCCTGGCCTGGCCAACATGGTGAAACCCTGTCTCTGTTAAAAGTACAAAACATTACCTTGGTGTGGTGGCAGTGCCTATAATCCCAGC
The DNA here is from genome assembly GCF_000001405.40 of Homo sapiens. NCBI lineage: Eukaryota > Metazoa > Chordata > Mammalia > Primates > Hominidae > Homo > Homo sapiens. Next base: position 88,530,178 of record NC_000004.12, read on the forward strand.
TACTCAGGAGGCTGAGGCAAGAGAATTGCTTGAACCAGGGACGTGGAGGTTGCAGTGAGCCAAGATCGTGCCACTGCACTCCAGCCTAGGTGACAGAGTGAGATTCCGTCTCCAAAAGAAAAAAAAAAAAGCTATCCCTATTTTCAAGATGTTTATAATCTTAAGTGGAATAAACAGCACAGGATAAAGTTAAATAGAAAATTCAGGTTTACATATAATGCATTCTTTCGTGTATTCATTCAACATTTGTTGAACTTATACTGTATATGAGGCTCACAAAGAAGGCTGTGCCTAAGGCCTAAGGAGGGCTTAGGGGAGTGTCAGTATAGGTCTTATAGCCGTAAGAAATTATTTACTGAGACCTCAGGGGACACCCATTTTATCTCCTTTCCTCATTTTTTAATCCACAAAAACAATTTTAACTTTGCAAGTAGAATATAAAAGTTTGCTAGGCAGAGATGAGTATGATGAGCCATCAATACTATACTACAGCTCAGGTAAGAGTGAATAATGTGGACTTGAGTAAATATTGTAGGGCTGCATATTAATATACATTTTAAATGGCTTCTGTGTATAACATTTCAAAACTGATCACGAAAATGGCCAGGTTTGAGCTTAAGCCTAAAAGTTCAACATAATTAAGATATCAATATATGGAAAGAGGAATAGTATTTTATTTTTATTCTTTTTGAGACAGAGTCTTGCTCTGTTGCCCAGGCTAGAGTGCAGTGGTGCGATTTCAGCTCACTGCAACCTCTACCTCCCAGGTTCAAGTGATTCTCCTGGCCTCAGCTTCCCAAGCAGCTGGGACCACAGGTGTGTACCACCACATCACGCCTGGCTAATTTTTTTGTATTTTTAATGGAGATGGGGTTTTGCCATGTTGGGCAGGCTGGTCTTGAACTCCTGGCCTCAGGCGATCTGCCCTCCTCAGCCTCCCAAAGTGCTGGGATTATAGGCGTGACCCACCATGCCTGGCAGGAATAGTATTTTTAAAAATTTTTTAAATTTTTAAAATTTAAAATTTTTTTAAAATTTTTTAATTTAAATTAAATTGTTGTTGTGCTATGTTGCCCAGGTTAGTTGAACTGGCCTCAAGCTGTCCTCCCCCCTCAGCCTCCCAGAGTTCTGGGATTACAGGCATGAGCCACCGTGCACAGCCAATAGTATTTCTTAATGGGAGTCATCACCACTATTTTGTTCTTTAAAATATCCTATTCATACATATTTTGAAATATAAACTTTAAAAATAAGCGTTCACTAAAACTATAAATATATCACAAGAAAATATCCAGATAAGCAACTCCACATGATATTAATTTGTCTATTTAGAACAAATGAAATCAATAAAAAATTTGCAGTTCTTTCCAACTCTGCTTGAAATCTGTGGCAGCTGTTGCTCTCTCAACCTCCATCTGAAGATGAGCTGTTGCTCTCTCAACCCTCCTATTTGAAGAAGTTGGAAAACGAACAAGTACATTTTCCAGACTCCTTTATAGATAGGGTTCTGGCTATGAAATAGACTCTGCCAGCTAGATACACACACGTGAAATTTGAAAGGGAGGCAGAGATGAGCTTCCTGCAGCAGGGAGAGTTGACACGCAGGTTCTGACAGACACAGGATTTGCATGGGTTAGATGAATGCTGCACTCTCTAGATGCAAGGGGCAGTGTCTTCTTAGCACAGGGCAGCTGTGGCAGCCACAGCAGTGGTTGCAGTAACAGTTTCTTCTGGGTCACAGCTATTAGAGCATTAGCTTAACACCAAAACTCCAGAAGCAGCCCCCTGTTTCTGCTTTTCCAGCCATTTTAATGAATTTATAAACACATAGTTCTGTATATTAAATTCCTATATACTGGAAATTCCTAGAACAATTTCTTTTTCCTACACTGAACCCTGACTGGTCAACTACCCCAGAGTGTAGATGTGATCATAAAATATGTAAATCACTTAGAATAGTGATTAATATATAGTAAAGAATAGTGGCCTGAAACACTATATAGATATCTATATAGATATATTTATAAAACAGGAGATTTATTACAGGAATTGACTTACACAATTACGGAGGCCTGGAAGTCCCATAATCTGCCCTCTGCAAGCTGGAAAACCAGCGGGAGAAAGCTGGTGATATAACTCAGTCCAAGTCCAAAGGCCTGAGAACCACGGGAGCCAACAGTGTAGGTCCAGATCAGAGCTCAAAGGCTCTAGAACCCAGCACCAGTATCTGAGGGCAGGGGAGTATATATGGCTGTCCCAGCTCAAATGAGAAGCAAATGCACCCTTCCTCCACCTTTTTATTCTATTCAGGCTCTCATAGGATTGGATGATGTCCATTCACATAAGTGAGTGCAGATCTTCTTTACTCAACCTATAAATTAAAATCCTAATCTCTTCCAGAAACACCCTCACAGATACAAACACAAATAATGTGTTACCAGCTAACTAGGCATCCCTCAGCTCAGTCAAGATGTCACATAAAACTAACCATCACATTGGCCCATTATAATAGAAAATAAAAGGTCCTGATCAGAATTACTAAAAAGAATGAAGAGTAGAAGTACTAACAAGTACTCAGGAAAACAATCATCCTCTGGACGTAGAGTTGTAATATTTAGGAAAACAATGTGGGGAATTTTCTTTTTGCAAGGGTTCAAGGGAGAGCTTGAGGAAGAGGCAAGATAACTTACCTCTTGTACTAATCCCATATGTATTAGAGTTCTCTAGAGGGACAGAACTAATAGGATAGATGAATATACGAAACGGACTTTATTAAGGAGAATTGACTCACACGGTCACCAGGTGAAGTCCCACAGCAGGCCATCTGCAAGCTGAAGAGCAAGGAAGCCAGTCTGAGTCCCAAAACCTCAAAAGTAGGGAAGCCGACAGCGCAGCCTTCAGCCTGTGGCCGAAGGCCGGAGAATCCCTGGCGATCCACTGATGTATGTCCAAGAGTCCAAAAGCTGAAGAATTTGGGGCCTGATGTTTGAGGGCAGGAAGCATCCAGCATGGGAGAAAGATGAAGGCCAGAAAACTCAGCAGGTCTGCTCATTCCACCTTCTTCTGCCTGCTTTATTCTGCCCACGCTGGCAGGTGATTGGATGGTGCCCACCCACATTGAGGATGAGTCTGCGTCTCCCAGTCCACTGACTGAAATGTTAATCTCCTTTGGCAACACCCTCACAGACACACCCAGGAACAATACTCTGTATCCTTCAATCCAATCAAGTTGACACATTATTAACCATCACACCATGGAAAATTCTGATTTTATAAATAAAATTGAAGGGATAAAAGGAGGCAAAACGATGTCACCTGAGACCTATGTGAGTAATTTGATGCTACTCATACTACTATCCCCTGCCCTTTCTCAAGGTTTTCCTTGTCATGATGCAGACTAGCTTGGAAGGGGACCGGTGAGAAACAGCATGCCAAAAGCCTTTGTAATTTCTCTTTCACATCTGGCTGTTCACCATTTCTTACAATTTGTTTCTTCATAAGTCTTCTGGCTTTCAGCACTTTGATCTTAATAGTCATGATTCTAATCTAGGCCTCAATGATTTAAAGTTGTGGCTAACTTCATACATAGTCCTAATTTCTTTATCTCTACTTTTCTAACATTTTTCCCTTTAAAATCCCAATAATAAAACTTTCTTCTTTATCGTTCTTACTGGCAACTTTGTTCAAAATTTCACAAAAAGAAAAGTTATTTATGCTTGGTTTTAAAGTGCTATGTACCTTCACTATCACCCAGGTTTCTTAGCTTCTATCTTTTTTTACTCCCTTCCTCCCTCTTTCTACCTCCCATTCCTCCTTCTTCTCCACTGCCCTCCTGCTAATGGATAAATATGATCCATATCATCTGACAGTGCTTTTCAAACTTGAATATGCATATGAGTCACCTGGGAATCTTGTTAAAATGCAAATTCTGACTCATTATGACTAGGATCATACTGAATAGGAGGCTTGAAATCTTTTCTTAACAGCTTCCGGATGCTGCTGCTGAATCGCAGACCACACTTTTAGTAGCAAGACTCCAGAACACTGGTTTTTCAACTGGAATGATTTTGAACCCCAGGAATATTTGGCAATGTGTGGATGTATTTTTGATGGTTACAACTGGGGTGGTGCTCCTGGGCAGAGGCCAGGGATGCCACCAAGCATCTTACCATGCACAGGACAGCCCCTCACGACAAAGAATTAACTGGCCCAAAATGTCAACAGTGACCAGGCTGAGGAATCCTGCTCTAGAATGATTTTAAACACTATAATTACCCAGTGGCATCTTCTATTAGTCTAACAGTTTTGTTTTTTTTTTCCTAGAAAAAAACTTTCCAGTCCTCTTCCCTCTACTTAGTCAGTTCCTGTGACTAAAAGGATCTCATACTGCAAGGCTTTTTTTCCCCAAACGTCTACCATTTCCTTTTCCAATTTATTAAATGAAAGTTATGAATGGAATTTTTCATGGCATTAACATGATTTTAAAAGCCTCATGCTCTCAGAAAAAAATAAAAAATTAAGACAGCAAGTTTACAGCTTTGAAATGTGTGATTCTATATGGCTTTTTTATTATCCAGGTTTAAGCTAGTGCATTATGGTACCTTTGAAAACAACTGAAGTAATTCTCAAAATAATAATCAATAGGTGTTTTACTTTGTGTGTGTTTTCAATGACTGTTCAGGTTGTAGCCATCAAATAGTCCATAGTGTAAAAGGAAATGAACCTCCAAAAGAAGTATTTTTTTGTATTCAGATGAAGAAGATGGGGATATTGTAAAAGCTCTTTTATTACAGAAAGCTGTGTTTTCCATAGTTGAAGAGAGTCAGGAATTTGACAACTTTAACTTGATTTGACTCTCCAGTGATGTAGCTAACACAAGAGTTATTGCATATGAAAAAAATAGATAATTTTTACCAGAATCATGGCTAGATGAAAGTAAATTGAGTCCTGAGTATTTTTATTGAAACTATGGTCACAATTCCAAGTTTTTGAAAGTCTGCTTTTCCTAGTTTTCTAAGCCTGTCAGGCATCTTTGACTGACTCAGAGACCAACCTTGAACTTACACCTGGCCTGCCAGCACCTAGGGCACTGCCCTGGGATTCCCACTCTGCCCTGCTTTCTTCTTGATTTCATTGCAATGGAAAATACGACTAAATATTTCAGTAGTTTGAGTTTGGTCTAGTCATTAGGGACATTTTATTTTAATGTAAAGATCTTACTGAAAAGTACTTTAGTCACCAACTTAGAGAATTCATAAACTGAAAAATGTTATATAAGGTGACTAAATCAGAATGATCTTCTTAAATTTACTATCCACTCACCTACACTTCCCCAGAAAACTCTCCTTGTTCTGTATTGAACTTAGTAAATGATACCACCATCTTCTGAGTCACCTGGGCTGAGGTCTGAAGTCATGATGGACTTCATCTTTTCACCTCCCACATCCAATCACATGATGAAGGGCATCCCAAGGCAGGAGGACAGGAGCAAGTGTGTCAGCTCAGGTCTCTCTTCCTCTGCTTATAAAGCCACCAGTCCCATCATGGGGGTCCCACACGAATGACCTCATCTAATCCCAATTACCTCTCAAAGGCCCCACCTCCAACCAACAGATGAATTTGGCACTTAAGTTTCCAATACAAGACATTTGGAGGACATATTCAAACCACAGCACTCCTGAAATCTCTTACAGAAATATTACAGAGTAGAAATAATGCAAATGTTTCTTATGTCATAATGTAAGATAGAAAGATGGGAGTGCATCCAATTCTTGGTTCCATTTCCTTATTACAATAAACACAAATCATCTCATGGGGCTAGGATGACCTACCTCAATGCACCTTGCTTTGCATGTAATAGTTTAACAAATTAGTTATTCACTGATGCACTCAAGTGGCCAAAAGCTCCCAGATGATTTCCCTAGGTTTGTGCAAAAGCTTCTGGCATAGTGGCTTATGAGGCCCTCCAGCAACTGGCCCCAGACTGTCTCCAGCATATTCTCTCACTGTGGCCACTTCTCATCTTGAATTCAGCCATTCTGAACTATTTGTTGTCCCCATAATAGCCTGTTTCATAGCTCCATGTCTTTTGTTCATGCCATTTCTTCTGCCCAGAATATCTTTACTCCATTGTCCCTCTAAACCACTACTCAGCTTTTAAGACCCAATTCAAACACAGACACTTTTATGAAGATTTTTCTAACTCCTTCCTTCTCCCTGCTTCCTGGGAATTGACCATCAATCCCTTGTATACAACAGTAAACTACCCTACCCCGACACATACTCACTCACTCACTCACTCTTATTATAACATTTATTACTTCTTTACAAGTATTCTTTTATATGTCTGTCTCCTGTACTAATCTAGAAGATCCTTTAGGTCACATACCATGTGTATTTTATTTCTTTATCCCTAAATCTAGCACAGTGGCTGGCACATAGTATATGTTTAATAAACACTTGTAAAATGAATGTAATATGTCTAGTACCAAATGTTGTTCCTCTTAACTTGCCAATAGAAAAAAATATTACACAGTTACAGAATCTGCTTGTAATTTAGCTACCTGTGAAAAGAAAAGCACAATGAATTTTTTTTCAATTTAGAGAAATTCAAAACATATAAACTCTTTCCCAATCTGATTATAATTTTGAGTAATATGTTAGGGTGGAGGTGCTAGAAGGAGTACTCTATCAGAGCTGTCTTCTAAATTATTTTCTGCCTGGGATTATATATTTTTAAAACACACACTAAAGTTATAAAAATACGACCAAGAATTCTTATATACTTTCACCTGGATTTCTTAAATTAACAGATTTCTGTAGCTAGATTTTAAAAAACTGACAGCAACTTGCAGACATGAGGTTCATTTACACTTTAACACTTCAAAACAAAATGAAAACCAAAACAAAATATATTCTCTTACATCACCACAGGACAATTATCAAAATCAGAAAATTAATATTTATACAATATTACTGTATAATTTATGAATTTAAATTTCACCATTTGTTCCCTTAATGTATTTTTATAGCAAAAGGAAAAGGATTTCTGGTCCAAGATCCAATCCAGGATGAGACATGACTTTTAGTCATCACGTCTCATTCATCTCTTGTAATCTGAAACAGTTCATTGGTCTTTTTTTGTCTTTCATGACCTTGATGTTTTGAGGCATTATGGGAAGTTTACTTGCAGCAAGTCTATTCCTCAATTTGGATGTGTCTGATATTTCTTCATGATTAGATTCAGGTAATATATATTTTTAAGTTACACATTTTTTGCCAGGATACCACAGAAGTAACACTGTGTCATTTTTAGTGCATCCTACCAAGAATTATTACTGGTTATGCTAACTCTGATCATTTGATTAAAGTGGTCCGTTTAAGTTGTCACTACTGTAAATTACTGTTTTCCTCTATGTAATCAATAAGTAGCATACAGGGATGAGGTTATATTGAAGGCTAAACAAAAGAGAGACCAAGTGTTCCTCTGTGTTCTAAATAGAAATTGTTTAGCTGTGTTATTTGGCCTTCTTAGAGATTACATATAAAAATCAAAAGACTTTAAAATGGTGATCTTCTGACATTTTTAGTGCTTTAGCTGCAAAATTATTTATAAAAACAAGATGTAGCTCTGAAATCCATAGCACTGAATATTAAAGCCTTAAGTAAATGGGAGATCTGCATTTAGCAGCCCCTCAGGGATGAAGCTCGAATAGCAGCAGAACTGTTGTTTCTGTGACACTGTGCATTTGGCTCACAGCTAGATCACTTGTCAAAAACCTTCTGACAGGAAGATAATGTCCTATGTTATTAGCCATACTTTACAATCAAAAATAGGTTTATGTTGGTGTTAAATCTGTGAGTCCTTACTCTCAGCCTCTTTGTTTGACCCACATATTCTTTAAGGGAGAACTATATTGAAATGGTACAGGTGAATCAATGGATATTTACTTGTTTTCTGGAGTTAGAAATCTAACACAATAAATGGGAGGTTCTTAAACTATTCTTTCAAATGGTTTTGCATCGCAGTAAAGGAACCATGCAGTTTGGAGTACAACATTTCCTTCTCTCACTAGATTCAGTTGCTAAAGACCTCTTTCACACTGCAATGCTCTTTGAGATGACACTGTACACCATGGAGTATCGTGGCAATAGCTGCCTATTAGTTTGCTAGGCCTGCTATAACAAAGTACCACAGACTGGATGGCTTGAACAACAGAATTTGTTTTCTGACAATTCTTGAGGCTAGGTATCAACGTGTTGGCAGGTTTGGTTTCTTCTAAGCCTCTCTCCTTGGCTTATAGATGGCTGTCTCTCTGTTGACTTCACATGGTCATCTCTCTGTACATGTCTGTGTCCCAATTTCCTCTTTTTTTTTTTTTTTTTTGACGAAGTCTCGCTCTGTCACCCAGGCTGGAGTGCAGTGGTGCGATCTCCGCTCACTGCAAGCTCTGCCTCCTGGGTTCACGCTATTCTCCTGCCTCAGCCTCCCGAGTAGCTGGGACTACAGGTGCACGCCACCATGCCTAGCTAATTTTTTGTATTTTTAGTAGAGATGGGGTTTCACCGTGTTAGCCAGGATGGTCTTGATCTCCTGACCTCGTGATCTGCCCGCCTCGGCCTCCCAAAGTGCTGGGATTACAGGCGTGAGCCACCATGCCCGGCCCAATTTCCTCTTTTTATAAGACATCTGTCATATTGAATCAGGATCCACCCACCATAACCTCATTTTACTGTCATTTCATACCTCTTTAAAAGTCCTATCTCCACTTGCTTCCAAGATGGCCAAATAGGAACAGATCCAGTCTGCAACTCCCAGTGTGATTGATGCAGAAGACAGGTGATTTCTGCATTTCCAACTGAGATACCTGGTTCATCTCATTGGGACTGGTTGGGCAGTGGGTGCAACACACAGAGGGCGAGCCAAAGCAGTGTGGGGCATCGCCTCACCTGGGAAGCGCAAGGTGTCAGGGGATTTCCCTTTCCTAGCCAAGGGAAGCCATGACAGACTGTACCTGGAAAAACAGTACACTCTCGCCCAAATACTGTGCTTTTCCCATGGTCTTAGCAACCGGCAGACCAGGAGATTCCCTCCCGTGCCTGGCTCTGCGGGTCCCATGCCCACAGAGCCTTGCTCACTGCTAGCACAGCAGTCTGAAATCAACCTGCGAGGCTGCAGCCTCGGGGGGAGAGGGGCATCCACTATTGCTGAGGCTTGAGTAGGTAAACAAAGCAGCCAGGAAGCTTGAACTGGGCAGAGCCCACTGCAGCTCAGCAAGGCCTACCACCTCTATAGACTCCACCTCTGTGGGCAGGGCATAGCTGAACAAAAGGCAGCAGACAAGTTCTGCAGACTTAAACGTCCCTGTCTGACAGCTCTGAAGAGAGCAGTGGCACGGCGTTTGAGCTCTGAGAATGGACAGACTGCCTCCTCAAGTGGGTCCCTGACTCTTGTGTTGCCTGACTGGGAGACACCTCCCAGTAGGGGGCGACAGACACCTCATACAGGCAGGTGACCCTCTGGGACGAAGCTTCCAGAGGAAGGATCAGGCAGCAATATTTGCTGTTCTGCAATATTTCCTGTTCTGCAGCTTCCGCTGGTGATACCCAGGAAAACAGGGTCTGGAGTGAACCTCCAGCAAACTCCAACAGAACTATAGCTGAGGGCCCTGACTGTTAGAAGGAAAAACTAACAAACAGAAAGGAATAGCATCAACATCAACAAAAAGGACATCCACACCAAAACTCTATCTGTAGGTCACCAACAACAAAGACCAAAGGTAGATAAAACCACAAAAATGGGGAGAAACCAGAGCAGAAAAGCTGAAAATTCTAAAAACCAGAGCACCTCTTCTCCTCCAAAGGATCGCAGCTTCTTGCCAGCAACAGAACAAAACTGGACAGAGAATGACTTTGATGAGTTGACAGAAGTAGGCTTCAGAAGATTGGTAATAACAAACTTCTCTGAGCTAAAAGAGCATGTTCTAACCCATCACAAGGAGGTTAAAAATCTTGAAAAAAGGTTAGACGAATGGCTAACTAGAATAAACAGTGTAGTGTAGAGAAGACCTTAAATGACCTGATGGAGCTGAAAACCACAGTGCGAGAACTTCGTGACACACACAACAAGCTTCAATAGCCAATTTGATCAAGTGGAAGAAAAGATATCAGTGATTGAAGATCAAATTAATGAAATAAAGTGAGAAGACAAGTTTAGAGAAAAAAAGTAGAAAGAAATGAACAAAGCATCCGAGAAATATGGGACTATGTGAAAAGACCAAATCTACGTTTGACTGGTGTACCTGAAAGTGACAGGGAGAATGGAACCAAGTTAGAAAACACTCTTCAGGATATTATCAAGGAGAACTTCCCTCACCTAGGAAGGCAGGCCAGCATTCAAATTCAGAAAATACAGAGAACACCACAAAGATACTCCTTGAGAAGAGCAACCCCAAGACACATAATTGTCAGATTCACCAAGGTTGAAATGAAGGAAAAAATGTTAAGGGCAGCCAGAGAGAAAGGTCGGGTTACCCACAAGGGAAGCCCATCAGACTAACAGCAGATCTCTCGGCAGAAACTCTATAAGCCAGAAGAGAGTGGGAGCCAATATTCAACATTCTTAAAAAAATTTTCAATCCAGAATTTCATATCCAGCCAAACTAAGCTTCATAAGTGAAGGAGAAATAAAATACTTTATAGACAAGAAAAAGGCTGAGAGATTTTGTCCCCACCAGGCCTGCCTTACAAGAGCTCCTGAAGGAAGCACTAAATATCGAAAGGAACAACCAGTACCAGCCACTGCAAAAACATGCCAAATTGTAAAGACCATCAATACTAGGAAGAAACTGCATCAATTAATGAGCAAAATAACCAGCTAACATCATAATGACAGGATCAAATTCACACATAACAATATTAACCTTAAATGTAAATGGGCTAAATGCCCCAATTAAGATACAGACTGGCAAATTGGATAAACAGTCAATACCCATCAGTGTGCTGTATTCAGGAGACCTATCTCACGTGCAGAGACACACATAGGCTCAAAATAATGGGATGGAGGAAGATCTATCAACCAAATGGAAAGCAAAAAAAAAGCAGAGGTTGCAACCCTAGTCTCGGATAAAAGAGACTTTAAACCAACAAAGATCAAAAGAGACAAATAAGGCCATTACAAAATGGTATAGGGATCAATTCAACAAGAAGAGCTAACTATCCTAAATATATATGTACCTAATACAGGAGCACCCAGATTCATAAAGCAAGTCCTTAGAGACCTACAAAGAGACTTAGACTCCCACACAATAACAATGGGAGACTTTAACACCCCACTGTCAATATTAGACAGATCAGCAAGACAGAAGGTTAACAAGGATATTCAGGACTTGAACTCAGCTCTGCAACAAGCAGGCCTAATAGACATCTACAGAACTCTCCACAGTTCTGAAGTCAACAGAATATACATTCTTCTCAGCACCACATCGCACTTATTCTAAAATTGACCACATAATTGGAAGTAAAACACTCCTCAGCAAAAGTAAAAGAACAGAAATCACAACAAACTGTCTCTCAGACCACAGTGAAATCAAATTAGAACTCAGGATTAAGAAACTCACTTAAAACCGCACAACTACATGGAAACTGAACAACCTGCTCCTGAATGACTACTGGGTAAATAACAAAATGAAGGCAGAAATAAAGATGTTCTTTGAAACCAATGAGAACAAAGACACAACATACCAGAATCTCTGGGACACATTTAAAGCAGTGTGTGGAGGGAAATTTATACCACTAAGTGCCCACAGGAGAAAGCAGGAAAGATCTAAAATTGACACCCTAATATCACAATTAAAAGAACTAGAGAAGCAAGAGCAAACACATTCAAAAGCTAGCAGAAGGCAAGAAATAACTAAGATTGGAGCAGAACTGAAGGAGATAGAGACACAAAAAACCCTTCAAAAAATCAATCCAGGAGCTAGTTTTTTGGAAAAATCAGCAAAATAGATAGACATTAGCAAGATTAATAAAGAATAAAAGAGAGAAGAATCAAATAGATGCAATAAAAAATGATAAAGGGGATATCACCACCAATCCCACAGAAATACAAACTACCATCAGATAATACTATAAACACCTCTACACAAATAAACTAGAAAATCTACGAGAAATGGATACATTCCTGGACACATACACCCTCCCAAGACTAAACCAGGAAGAAGTTGAATCTCTGAATAGACCAATAACAGGTTCTGAAATTGAGGCAATAATTAATAACAACCAAAAAAAGTCCAGGACCAGATGGATTCACAGCCGAATTGTACCAGAGGTACAAAGAGGAGCTGGTACCATTCCTTCTGAAACTATTCCAATCAATAGAAACAAAGGGAATCCTCTGTAACTCATTTTATGAGGCCAGCATCATCCTGATACCAAAGCATGGCAGAGACACAACCAAAAAAGAGAATTTTACACCAATATTGCTGATGAACATCAATGTGAAAATCCTCAATAAAATACTGTGAAACCAAATCCAGCAGCACAGCAAAAAGCTTATCCACCATGATCAACTTGGCTTCATCCCTGGGATGCAAGGCTGGTTCAACACATGCCAATCAATAAACGTAATCCAGCACATAAACAGAACAAACGACAGAAACCACACAATTTTCTCTATAGTTGCAGAAAAGGCCTTTGACAAAATCCAACAGCCCTTCATGCTGAAAACTCTAGATAAACTAGGTATTGATGGGACGTATCTCAAAATAATAAGAGCTATTTATGACAAACCCACAGCCAATATCATACTGAATGGGCAAAAACTGGAGGCATTCCCTTTGAAAACTGTCACAAGACAAGGGTGCCCTCTCTCACCACTCCTATTCAACATAGTGTTGGAAGTTCTGGCCAGGGCAATTAGGCAAGAGAAAGAAATAAAGGGTATTCAATTAGGAAAAGAGAAAGTCAAATTGTCCCTGTTTGCAAATGACATGATTGTAAATTTAGAAGATCCCCTCATCTCAGCCCAAAATCTCCTTAAGCTGATAAGCAACTTCAGCAAAGTCTCAAGATACAAAATCAATGTGCAAATATCACAAGCATTCCTATACACCAAGAACAGACAGAGAGCCAAATCATGAGTGAACTCACATTCATAATTGCTACACAGAGAATAAAATACCTCGGAATCAAACTTACAAGGGATGTGAAGGACCTCTTCAAGGAGAACTACAAACCACTGCTCAACGAAATAAAAGAGGACACAAACGAATGGAAGAACATTCCTTGCTCATGGACAGGAAGAATCAATATCATGAAAATGGTCATACTGCCCATGGTAATTTATAGATTCAATGCCATCCCCATCAAGCTACCAATGACTTTCTTCACAGAATTGGAAAAAACTACTTTAAAGTTCATATGGAACCAAAAAAGAGCCTGCATTGCCAAGTCAATCCTAAGCCAAAAGAACAAAGCTGGAGGCATCACACTACCTGACTTCAAACTATACTACGAAACAGCATGGTACTGGCACCAAAACAGATATATAGACCAATGGAACAGAACAGGGGCCTCAGAAATAACACCACACATCTACAACCATCTGATCTTTGACAAACCTGACAAAAACAAGAAATGGGGGAAGGATTCCCTATTTAATAAATGGCGTTGGGAAAACTGGCTAGCCATATGCAGAAAGCTGAAACTGGATCCCTTCCTTACACCTTATACAAAAATTAACTCAAGATGGATTAAAGACTTAAATGTAAGATCTAAAACCATAAAAACCCTAGAAGAAAACCTAGGCAATACCATTCAGGACATAGGCATGGGCAAAGACTTCATGACTAAAACACCAAAAGCAATGGCAACAGAAGCCAAAATAGACAAATGGGATCTAATTAAACTAAAGAGCTTCTGCACAGCAAAAGTAACTCTCATCAGAGTGAACAGGCAACCTACAGAATGGGAGAAAATTTTTGCAGTCTATCCATCTGACAAAGGTCTAATATCCAGAATCTACAAGGAATGAAAACAAATTTACAAGAAAAAACCAAACAACCCCTTCAAAAAGTGGACGAAGAATATGAACAGACACTTCTCAAAAGAAGACATTTGTGCAGCCAATAAACATGAAAAAAAGCTCATAATCACTGGTCATTAGAGAAATGCAAATCAAAACCACAATGAGATATCATCTCACACCAGTTAGAATGGCTATTATTAAAAAGTCAGGAAACAACAGATGCTGGAGAGGATGTGGAGAAATAGGAACACTTTTACACTGTTGGTGGGAGAGTAAATTCATTCAACCATTGTGGAAGGCAGCATGGAGATTCCTCAAGGATCTAGAAGTAGAAATATCATTTGACCCAGCGATCCCATTACTGGGTATATACTCAAAGCATTATAAATCATGCTACTATAAAGACACGTGCACACGTATGTTTATTGCGGCACTATTCACAATAGCAAAGACTTGGAACCAACCCAATTGTCCATCAATGATAGACTGGATTAAGAAAATGTGGCACATATACACCATGGAATACTATGCAGCCATAAAAAGGATGAGTTCATGTCCTTTGCAGGGACATAGATGAAGCTGGAAACCATCATTCTCAGCTAACTATCACAGGGACATGTTCTCACTCATGTGTGAGAATTGAACAATGAGAACACGTGGACACAGGGCAGGGAGCATCACACACTGGGGCCTGTTGTGGGGTGGGATGCTGGGGGAGGGATAGCATTAGGAGAAATACCTAATGTAAATGACGAGTTGATGGGTGCAGCAAACCAACATGGCGCATGTATACCTATGTAACAAACCTGCATGTTGTGCACACGTACCCTAGAACTTAAAGTATAATAATAAAAAAATCCTGTCTCCAAACATTCACACTCTGAGGCACTGGGGGTTAGGACTTCAACATATGCATGGTAAGGGGGACACAGTCCTGTCCATATCACCACTCTTCCAGTCCTACTGGCTTGGTATAAAACGTTTCTCTTTCACATTACATGCCTGCATCAAAACATCTCATGTACCCCAGCCATAAATATATGCACCTACTCTGTGCCCACAGAAATTAAAAATAACATTTTTTTCTAAATAAAATAAAAAATTTTTGGTTATTCTACCAACTTTACAAGGACTTAAAGGGAGCTATCATACACTCCTCATGAGACTTTACAACACATATTTAAATTTGTGTAATTATTTAAAGGAAATCTTTCCTTTTGAGAATTCTTTTTTTTTTTTTTTTTTTTTAGATAGGGTCTTGCTCTGTCACCCACGCCAAAGTGCAGTGGCGCAGTCATGGCTTATTGCAGCCTCACCCTCTTGGACTCGAGTGATCCTACCACTTCAGCATTTCGAGAATTCTTAATGATTAGGGAATTATGTATGAGAATTTTTTTTCTTTTTTAGAGACAGGATCTCGCTATGTTGCTCAGGCTGGTCTCAAACTCCTGGGCTCAAAGGATCTTCCTACCTCAACCTCCCAAATAGCTGGGACTAAAGGTGTGCACCACCATGCCTGGTTTCATTTTTAAAGTAATGATGGCTCTAAGAAAAATATCTATTTTCTCTTTTCATATGCTTGAAGAGAACTCAACTTTAAAGAGCTTTTAAATCTGAACTTAAAAAAAATTATTCAGGAATAATTCTAAACTAAAATCCAGTGCAAAATTATCCTAATATGCAGATGTAATCATTCAAGTGCTCTATATTTCCAACCTCCTTAATAGTGGTATAAATGTGAATCTCAACCAAATATTTAAGAAGAGACTTCATTGCTCTTTAGGGAAAAAAATCACTTATTAATAGTATAGATTAGGTATACTACACTAAAAACAATCCCTAAGTCTTAGTGGCTTAAAAGAACAAGTGTATTTTGTGTTTATGCTATTAGGTTGAATTACTTGAAATTTCCAGTATTTCACAATTTTTGAACTAGAGATACTGTAAATTCATATGGATTGGTGTAATCCATAT
Organism: Homo sapiens; assembly: GCF_000001405.40. Lineage (NCBI taxonomy): Eukaryota > Metazoa > Chordata > Mammalia > Primates > Hominidae > Homo > Homo sapiens. Next base: position 88,546,178 of record NC_000004.12, read on the forward strand.
CATTCACAGAATGATTGGGGTCTCTATTCCATGTTGTCTATACTGAGAGGCACAGTCTAACAGAAGTTGCACCAGCTAGGATATTGCTGGTTACCTTGGCAGAAGGAAAAGAACTGAAGAAAGTACACACATCATTTAACACTGCACCTCTGTTGGTCAAAAAATGTTATAAGGCTGTATCTAACTTCAGCGGGGTAGGATAGTGCTATCTATATGCCAGGAAAAAGGAGAACTTGAATATTATTGACTACCAAATCTGGTAGTGTTTAATGATTCTTTTATATACTTTTTTAGTTCTTTGTTTCCCCTCCCTCCCTCCCTTCCTCCCTTCCTCCTTTCCTTCCTTCCTTCCTTCTTGGTCTTGCTCTGTCACCCAGGCTGGAGTGCAGTGGTGCGATCATGGCTCACTGCAGCCTCGACCTCCTGGGTTTAACTGATTTTCCCGCTTCAGACCCCCCAGGGAAGCTGGGACTACAGGCGTGCGCCACCATGCCTGGCTAATCTAGTCCTTTCATGCATTGTGTAACCTGTTTCAATGAAATCATATGGCTCAATTGTGCAGATGATTGTTTTTATTTTTGTTTTTGTGCACTATACAAATTGAAACTCATTGGGCATTGTTAATCCCAGATGAATCTAATGTATTTAGCCTCTGTCATAGAGTTTCAGAAATAAGTTTTGGACCTTGTTATTATTAAAATAATAGGCTCCCTGAGTTACTATTCTTCAATAATGTGTCATATTCCCCTAGACCATGTGACATAGTTCCTAGGCTAGGGTGATTTTAAAAAACTGTTTCTTGGTCTATAATTGAAATTCCACAACAGACACTGAAGAAGCCATGTTTCAGTACTTCCTTAACCTTTTTTTCTTTCTTTCATCCTAAACTTATATAATACACTATAACTTATAATATAATGCAATGTTTAAGACAATATTATGTTTAATAATGAAATGGTAGACAGCTTTATTAAACTAGTTGGCCTTATCAGATAAAATATCACTACTCTAGTGAAATTCCAGTTCTTAATTTTTATTCTTTGCTGGAGTATTGGTATAAGAATTGTCTTACAATTTTTTGGATAGAAAGTATAACAAGTAGCTAATCACTGCATTATTGTAACAAATATCAAAGGAATGTATACTTATAAATTTGTTTAAATAACAGCTTTATTAGGAGAAACTCATATACCATATAATTCACCCACTTAAAATGTAAAATTTAATGGTTTTTAGTATATTCGGAGTTGCACAGTTATCACTAAGACTCATTTTGGAACATTTTCATTATCGCAGAAAGGGATTACATACTTATTAGCACTTACTCCCTATTTCTCCAATCCCACTCCACTCGCAGCCCTAGGCAACCACGAATCTACTTTCTCTCTACTAATTTGCCTATTTTGGATATTTCCTATACATGAAATCAGACAATATGTGATCTTTTGCCACTGGCTTCTTTCATTTAGCATAAAGTTTTTTGTTTGTTTGTTTTTGAGACAGAGTCTCGCTCTGTCACCCAGGCTGGAATGCAGTGGCATTATCTTGGCTAACTGCAACCTGCACCCCTATGGTTCAAGCCATTCATGTGCCTCAGCCTCCTGAGTAGCTGGGACTATAGTAGCACACCACCATTTCTGGCTAATTTTTATAGTTTTAGTAGAGATAGGGTTTCACCACGTTAGCCAGGCTGGTGTCGAACTCCTGGCCTTGAATGATCTGCCTGCCTCGGCCTCCCAAAGTGCTGGGATTACAGGTAAGAGCCACTGTGCCCAGCCACATTTAGCATAATGTTTTAAAGTTTCATACATGTTTTAGCATGTATCAGTACTTCATTCCTTTTTATTGCCAAATAATATCCCATTGTGTGGATATACCGTTCCCATTGTGTGGATATACCGTATTTTATTCATCCATTCATCAGTTGATACACAATTGGATTGTTTCCAATTTTTGCCTATTATGAATAATGTTGTTATGAACATTTGTGAACAAATTTCTGTATACATGTACATTTTTATTGCACTTCAATATATACCTAGGATTAGAATTGGTGGCCATATAACTCTGTGTTTGATGTTTTAAGAAATTTCCAGACTGTTTTCCAAAGCGGCTGCACCATTTTATCTCTACCAGCAGTATATGGGGATTTTAAATTTTTCCACATTTTTGCAAGGTCTTGTTATTATCTTGTCTCCTTGATTATAGTCACTCAGTGTGTGTGATATGGTATCTCCATGTGCTTTTGATTTGCCTTTCCCTGAGAGCCAATGATGTTGAGCATCTTTTTTTCATCTGTTTATTGGCCATTTGTTTATCCTCTTTGGAGAAATGTATGCTCAGATCCTTTGCACGTTTTTCAATTGGGTTGTCTTTTTATTATTGAGTTCTAAGAGTTATTATTGAGTTCTATATATTCTGGATACAATTTCATTATCAGATATATGATTTGCAAGTATTTTCTCTCATTCTGTGGGTCATCTTTTCTTTTTTTTTTTTTTGAGATGGAGTCTCACTCTGTTGCCCAGGCTGGAGGGCAGTGGCACCATCTCGGCTCATGGCAACCTCTGCCTCCCGGGTTCAAGCGATTCTCCTGCCTCAGCCTTCCAAGTAGCTGGGACTACAGGCGCACACCACCACGCCTGGCTAATTTTTTGTATTTTTTAGTAGAGACAGGGTTTCACCATGTTAGCCAGGATGATCTTGATCTCCTGACCTCGTGATCCGCCCTCATCAGCCTCCCAAACTGCTGGGATTACAGGCGTGAGCCACTGCGCCCGGCCCATCTTTTCACTTTCTTAATGGTGTCCTTTGCAGTACAGTTTTTCTATTATTTTCTTCAGTTGCTTGTGCTTTTGGTGTCATATCTAAGAAACTATTGCCTAATCCAAGTTCACAAATATTTATGCCTATATTTTCTTTTAAGAGTTTCATGGTTTTATCTCTTACATTTAGTTCTTAGAACCATTGTCAGTGAAATTTTTATATGATATAAAGTAGAAATAAAAACTTATTCCTTTGCATGTGGATGCAATTTGTCCTAGCACCATTTTTGGGGGGGTGAGTGTTTAATTTTAATAACTTGCATTATATTATAAATCTCATATATTCCTTAGGTTTTTTACTTAACAGTAACTTTTTTTAAAAAAAAAAACAGCATTTTAGATTCACGGAGTATATATACAGGTTTGCTCATGGGTGTATTGCATAATGCATGCTGGAACCTATCACCCAAATAGTGAACATAGTACCCAATAGGTAGTTTTTCAGCTCTTCCTCTTCTTCCTGCTTTCCCCTTTATGGAGTCCCCAAATAGACATTATTTTCATCTTTATGTCCATGTGAACTCATTGTTTTTTTCCCATGTATAAGTGAGAGCATGTGGTTTTTGATTTTCTGTTTCTGCACTACTTCACTTACGATAATGGCCTCCAGTTGCATCCATGTTGACGCAAAGGACATGATTTCATTCTCTTTTATGGCTGTGAAGTATTCCATGGTGTATATGTACCACATTTTCTTTTTCTTTTTCTTTTTTTTCTTTAGAGATGGGGTCTCGCTCTGTCACCCAGATGGGAGTGCAGTGTCGCAATATTGGTTCACTGCAACCTCCGCCTCCTAGGTTCAAGCGATTATCCTGCCTCAGTGTGAGAAAACATTTGAAATGGTCCATCTTCAAGGCATGATAGAAATCTAAGTACTAGCAGCCAGCCTGCGGATGTGACCAATCATATGGCTCAGGCACCTAGAAAGTCAGGATACGCGAACAGGAGGAAGAGTCAGCCCATAAAAGGGAAGAAAGTTTCCTTATTGGGGAATCGAAACTTTAGCAGGGAAGGGGAATGGGGTATGACCTTATAAGGGGATAGTGAAACTTAGGCGACATCTGGGAAGATTATAACCCCATAATACTCGACCAATGAGGAACTTGGGGAGGGACTTGTGTGCTAGGAGAGAAATTACCTGCTGTGACTGCCCCAGGTGTGCCTGCCTAGCAGAAACCCCATCTTGCAAGACCACCATTAAAAGTCTCGTTTTCCTGGCACAAGACAGGGATGCCCTCTCTCACCACTCCTATTCAACATAGTGTTGGAAGTTCTGGCCAGGGCAATTAGGCAGGAGAAGGAAATAAAGGGTATTCAATTAGGAAAAGAGGAAGTCAAACTGTCCCTGTTTGCAGACGACATGACTGTATATCTAGAAAACCCCATTGTCTCAGCCCAAAATCTCCTTAAGCTGATAAGCAACTTCAGCAAAGTCTCAGGATACAAAATCAATGTACAAAAATCACAAGCATTCTTATACACCAGTAACAGACAAACAGAGAGCCAAATCATGAGTGAACTCCCATTCACAATTGCTTCAAAGAGAATAAAATACTTAGGAATCCAACTTACAAGGGACGTGAAGGACCTCTTCAAGGAGAACTACAAACCGCTGCTCAATGAAATAAAAGAGGATACAAACAAATGGAAGAACATTCCATGCTCATGGGTAGGAAGAATCAATATCGTGAAAATGGCCATACTGCCCAAGGTAATTTATAGATTCAATGCCATCCCCATCAAGCTACCAATGACTTTCTTCACAGAATTGGAAAAAACTACTTTAAAGTTCATATGGAACCAAAAAAGAGCCTGCATTGCCAAGTCAATCCTAAGCCAAAAGAACAAAGCTGGAGGCATCACGTTACCTGACTTCAAACTATACTACAAGGCTACAGTAACCAAAACAGCATGGTACTGGTACCAAAACAGAGATATAGATCAATGGAACAGAACAGAGCCCTCAGAAATAATGCCGCATATCTACAACTATCTGATCTTTGACAAACCTGAGAAAAACAAGCAATGGGGAAAGGATTCCCTATTTAATAAATGGTGCTGGGAAAACTGGCTAGCCATATGTAGAAAGCTGAAACTGGATCCCTTCCTTACACCTTATACAAAAATTAATTCAAGATGGATTAAAGACTTAAACGTTAGACCTAAAACCATAAAAACCCTGGAAGAAAACCTAGGCATTACCATTCAGGACATAGACATGGGCAAGGACTTCATGTCTAAAACCAAAAGCAATGGCAACAAAAGCCAAAATTGACAAATGGGATCTAATTAAACTAAAGAGCTTCTGCACAGCAAAAGAAACTACCATCAGAGTGAACAGGCAACCTACAAAATGGGAGAAAATTTTTGCAACCTACTCATCTGACAAAGGGCTAATATCCAGAATCTACAATGAACTCAAACAAATTTACAAGAAAAAAACAAACAACCCCATCAAAAAGTGGGCAAAGGATATGAACAGACACTTCTCAAAAGAAGACATTTATGCAGCCAAAAGACACATGAAAAAATGCTCATCATCACTGGCCATCAGAGAAATGCAAATCAAAACCACAATGAGATACCATCTCACACCAGTTAGAATGGCAATCATTAAAAAGTCAGGAAAAAACAGGTGCTGGAGAGGATGTGGAGAAATAAGAACACTTTTACACTGTTGGTGGGACTGTAAACTAGTTCAACCCTTGTGGAAGTCAGTGTGGCAATTCCTCAGGGATCTAGAACTAGAAATACCATTTGACCCAGCCATCCCATTACTGGGTATATACCCAAAGGACTATAAATCATGCTGCTATAAAGATACATGCACACGTATGTTTATTGCGGCACTATTCACAATAGCAAAGACTTGGAACAAACCCAAATGTCCAACAATGATAGATTGGACTTAGAAAATGTGGCACATATACACCATGGAATACTATGCAGCCATAAAAAATGATGAGTTCATGTCCTTTGTAGGGACATGGATGAAATTGGAAATCATCATTCTCAGTAAACTATCGCAAGGACAAAAAACCAAATACCGCATGTTCTCACTCATAGATGGGAATTGAACAATGAGAACACATGGACACAGGAAGGGGAACATCACAGTCTGGGGACTGTTGTGGGGTGGGGGGAGGCGGGAGGGATAGCATTAGGAGATATACCTAAGGCTAAATGACGAGTTAATGGGTGCAGCACACCAGCACGGCACATGTATACATATGTAACTAACCTGCACATTGTGCACATGTACCCTAAAACTTAAAGTATAAAAAAAAAAAAAGTCTCGTTTTCCTCTGCTCTTTGTGTCTCAGAGTCCATTCTTTGGGTTTGGACGGTGAATTTGTTTCCCACACTCAGCCTCCCTAGTAGCTGAGATTACAGGCACGTGCCACCATGCGTGGCTAATTTTTGTATTTTTAGTAGAGACAGGGTTTCACTAGGTTACCCAGGCAGGTATTGAATTCCTGACCTCAAGTGATCTACCTATCTTGGCCTCCCAAAGTGCTGGGGTTACAGGCATGGGCCACCACAACTGGCTCACATTTTCTTTATCCAATCCACAACTGATGGGCACTTTTAAGGATGATGTTAGCTATGGATTTTTCATAGATGCTGTAATTAATCTTTTAAAGAATTTATCATTGTTACAATCTTCTCTTAAACAGTTTCATTACTTAATACACAACAGCATAATAAAATCTGATTAAATTGAGGTCAACATTAAACAAAGAATAGGGTCACATTTTGTCTCATCTGTAACTACTGGCCACCTTTTTTGTGTGCTTGCCCTGTCCATAACCTCCACTAAGGGAAACTGACCTACTAATGGGCCCTGTTGTTTCAGAAGCCATATTCGGTATGTGGTGATATCTTCCCTCTTTCGCTACCCTCCAACCACATTTATTGGACTGGATTATCCATCTGTCTCAGAAACAGCTCATCTTTAGGTGAGACAGTAATCTTTACCCTCTAAGGCCAGATTCAAAAAAATTAATTTGACCAAATGAATTTTTCTCATGAATTGGACCTAAGGAACAAAACTGAATTTGTCTGTTACTGGTGGATGGTGTAGCTGAAATCTATGAGACAGAACCCAGACTTGGGAGGCCATAATGGACCATGGGTAATATAATTATGGGGAAATAGAAATCATAAGTAGACAGAAGTTTATTAGCACAGAATAGTAGACACACAGAATTCAGCTGAGTGACACTAACAGCAGAGTTTGGGAGGAAAGATTCTTGAACTCCTGCATCTAAGATTTCTAGAATAAGTTTGAATCTAAAACCAATATCCAGCCTCAATTCTTGAACTTCCATGAATTCCTAGTCTGCTTATTCATCCACATGAGCTAACTTGAAAGGGTCTCTGTTGCTTGTAAACAACAGAGTTGTTGAAACAGAGTAAATGAAATAACTAAAAATACTCAGCATAAACTTGTCACATTTGACAATAATATTTTTCTCAAGGATACTGACTTTTAAAAGAATGACATGGGAAAAGAGAATGAAAATTATTTTGGGGTTAGTAAAGGATAAAATTCATGAAGACAATTAAGAAGGAAAATAGGAGAACCTTAGGATCCTTACCTTTAATAAACCTATGGTGTTAGAAATGCAATTAGCATTCACTAACAGATTCCTATTTAGGAGACAGGACTACAGGCACCACCACCACCACACCCACCTAATTTTTGTATTTTTAGTACAGACAGGGTTTTACCATGTTGGCCAGAATGGTCTTGATCTCTTGACATCATGGCCTGCCTGCCTTGGCCTCCCAAAGTGCTGGGATTACAGGCATGAGCCACTGCGCGGCCACCATATAATTTCTATACTAAAGTTCACCTGTTCAAGAACTGCTTGAACCTGGGAGGCGGAGGTTGCAGTGAGCAGAGATCGCGCCACTGCACTTACTACCTTATTTGGTAAGGGGGTAATAACAAAATTGTTAAAATGGCAATGTGGTGCTTAATAAATTCTTCAAAAAGAAGACCGTTGGGCAGAAACCTTGTTAATGGCAAACAATGCCTAAGGATTTAAAATGGTATCAGCTGGGCGTGGTGGCTCACACCTGTAATCCCAGCATGTTGGGAGGCTGAGATGGGCAGATTACAAGGTCAAGAGGTGGAGACCATCCTGGCCAACATGGTGAAACCCTGTCTCTACTGAAAATACAAAAATTAGCTGGGTGTCGTGGCATGCGCCAATAGTCCCAGCTACTTGGGAGTCTGAGACAGGAGAATCCTTGAATCTGGGAGGTGGAGTTTGCAATGACCCGAGATTGCACCACTGCACTCCAGCCTGGGCGACAGAGGGAGACTCCATCTCCAAAAAAAAAAAAAAAAAAAGGTATCCTGGCAATACCAATTATAGATTAAGTGACAAGAGGCTGTGTCTTGGTAGCAGGCACATAATTTTCAATGAAGAATAAAGTAACTGTGAAGATGAGGTAAATAAAATGATTGAGGTTAATCAGAGTTGGGCTTTAAACAATAATGACTGCTATTTAGTCTTTGTGAACAACTGAGGCATAGGTAGCCCACAGTTTTTCCCAGCTGAATTTGATTAAAGCTTCTCAGCTGCCAAATAAAGTTTTACTAATGGAAGATACACAGAGCTAAAGATGGGAAGAATTGGTTGAGAATGGGAAAATTTTTGACATGTTAGAGGAGGATATGAAGAGGTAAATATGATACCTTGGCATTTAACTGGGAAACAGATAAGGCCTAGCTCCATGGGTAGAGTCAGAATTATGGTGATTGAGGTGTGGGGCTTTTGTCCTATTTATTGGCCTAGTAATAGGTATAGCAAGTATACCAAAATGGGCTGCTGCTTTTGTTATTTTGGATGATGATTTTCAGGTACAGTGTTAATTTCCAGGCTTACTCATGCTAATGTTTACGGAGAGTCAAACATAGGATTACATCTAGAAGTAAACTAAATAAGAAAATTATCAGACAGGTGAACTTTAGTATAGAAATTATATCGTGGCCGTGCAGTGGCTCATGCCTGTAATCCCAGCCCTTTGGGAGGCCAAGGCAGGCAGATCATGAGGTCAAGAGATTGAGACCATCCTGGCCAACATGGTGAAACCCTGTCTGTACTAAAAATACAAAAATTAGGTGGGCGTGGTGGTGGTGCCTGTAGTCCCAGCTACTCGGGAGGTTGAGGCAGGAGAACTGCTTGAACCTGGGAGGCGGAGGTTGCAGTGAGCTGAGATCGTGCCACTGCACTCCAGCCTGGTGACAGAGCGAGACTCCGTCTCAAAAAAAAAAAAAAGAAAAAGAAAAAGAAATTATATGGAATTATATGGTATTAACCAATATTTTTAGAGTGTGGAATCAAAAATTTAATTAACCGACAATTTAAATGTAGTGGAGTATGACAGCATGGAAGTTTTGCAAGTTATTTTGGGGTAGTTTGAGATATCTTAAAAACATTTGATTTGTTTAACATGGAGAAATTTTGTTTACAAGTGGCTCTTGGGTATGCTACAAGTGAAAATTTGATTAAACTAATGGAATTATGTTGTTTTTATGGCTAATTATCATTAACTGGTAGGTTTGCTATAAAAGGTTCTTTTAAAAAGGTATTTTGTGTATTTATTGAAAACAATATTGGCATATTCTATTGAAATATTTCAAGTGGATATGAAGAATTTTTATCTAACCTGAAATAAATTAAAATTTACTTACTATTTTGTATGACAATGGTTGCTGAAGTGAGGATGCAGATAAATCCTATTAGCAGAGATTGAGCAGGAATATTCTATTCTTGGTTAAGTTTGATACGATGAGAATGAGGAGAGAGGAGAATTATAGTGAATGTTACTCTATATGAAATTGGTGACCTGTTAAGCTCCAGTGAGAAGCTAGTAAGCTGGTAAGGTTACCTAGATGAGAGAATAGACTGGATTGACCAATTAGATATATAATAGGCATGGGGGTCTCCAATGGATAATTGGGTTGGATTTGGGGAGAGGGGTCAGAAGAAGAGTTAAAGGAGGTTTGAAATTGATGACGCTGGAAGCTGTAAAAGTATGACAAAGGACTCACATTTATTTTGCTTTGTTGATGTTTCCAGACTATAACTCTTTGACATGATACATAAAATCATCCTAGCCTTTTCAAACATCTTGCATTCTCCAATATCCCTCAGTGAAAAATGAAGCATCTGGGTAGGAGCAACTGTGTTACATAGGAGGTGCCCTGGAGCTGCTAAACCCCAAGTGTCTTTGTGCAAAGCAATCATTCTGAATACTAGCACCTGTTTAGCTGTCCAAAAGCTTTCTGCAAACATTTGCAATAATGGGTTAAGACATGAACAAAATGCAAGTAAACCCTAATAGCTCTAAAACCACACTCTTTAGCAGCATTAACAGAAACAAATACTCTTATTTTGAAAGAATTAGTTGGTTGAAACAAACCCATTTAAAGAAAAAAAGCAATTTAGTTACATTCTATCAACATTTATGAGAGCCTATTATGTGAAAATAATCACTGTGGTAACAGCTACTTCCTTTTTCTAAAACCTCCCCATCAGATCAGCCACAAGTCCTATAAATTCTACCTCTTCATCCTAGCCTTTACTTAATCCCTTACTTGCACTCAGTCCTAATATCATTACTGACCTGGCTTCCTTACCCTTCTGCAATCTGTCTTCTACTCTACCACCACAGCCATCTTCCTCAGACACCAATTAGATTCTGTTGCCTGCCTGCCATGATTCTTCGGTGGTGTCCTACAGCTTTCAAACTAATTTCAAATTCCTCTCCATGGCACGAAGCCCTTTCTATTTTTTTTTTTTTAAATAGTGTCAAAGTCTCATTCTGTTGCCCAGGCTGGTCTAGAAATCCTGTCCTCAAACAGTTCTCTTGCCTTGGCCTCCCAAAGTGCTGGAATCTTTCCTATTCTTATCTTAGTTTCTTCAGCCTCATTTATCACCACATGGTCTCATGTACCTTATATTCACATATATTCACACATTTTGCAGTTCTGCAAAATGACCATACATCTCCCCCTTCCTCCATCTATCCCTTTTAGATTCACTTCATCTGGAAAGCTCCCACCTCTTCCTTCCTCTCCCTTTCCCACCTTATCCTTCAATTCCTTTACCTTTCTTTCCCTAGTTTGAGTTAATCACATCTTTGCTAGGCAACCATAGCGCCTGATTATACCTCTATCATAATGACTTCCCTATTGATTTGTAGTTGGTTTAACTGTTTGTATCCATCATTGGACTAGAAGTTACTTAATGTTAAGAGCTATTTTTTCTTTTCTATTTCCTTAGTAGTTAGCCTGCCTCATAGCATGGACTCAATAAGTAGTCATAAATACAGTCAAATCTACCTCCTAAATTTCACTTACATGGGTCTCTTCTTCATCCCTGCTACCTTGTATTAACTCAGGTTTTCATGAATCATCTAGATTCCTAAAACAACCTCTGTCACCAATATTTTTGGTGGATATTTGTTCTTTATATTGCTAGCACTGATATATTCACATACGTGTGTGTGTGTATACAAGTGTATATATGTATATAAATATAGAATGGAACTGATAATTTCATTGAGTGACTTAAAAATCATTCTGTGTAGTCTCATTATATAAAGAATAAAGTCCAGCTCTAGCAAAGCATCCAAGGGCTTTCAGATCGGATGTGGTGAAAAGGGAACACTTTTACAATGCTAGTTGGAGTGTACATTAATACAACCACTGTGGAAAACAGTATGGAGATTTCTTAAAGAACTAAAAGTGGATGCTGGGCACAGTGGCTCATGCCTGTAATCCCAGCACTTTGGGAGGCTGAGGCGGGCAGATCACCTGAGGTCAGGAGTTCGAGACCAGCCTGACCAACATGGAGAAAAATACAAAATTTTTCTCGTCTCTACTAAAAAAATACAAAATTAGCCAGGCATGGTGGTGCATGCCTGTAATCCCAGCTACTCAGGAGGCCGAGGCAGGAGCATCACTTGAACCCAGGAGGCGGAGGTTGCGGTGAGTCGAGATCACACCATTGCACTCCAGCCTGGGCAACGAGAGCGAGACTCTGACTCAAAAAAAAAAAAAAAAAAAAAAAAGAAAAAAAGAACTAAAAGTAGAACTACCATTTGATCCACTAATCCCAGTACCAGGTATCTACCCAAAAGAAAATAAGTCATTTTATGAAAAAGACACATGCACATGCATGTTTATAGCAGCACAATTAGCCATTGGGAAGATGTGGAACCAACCTAAGTGCCCCTCGACCAATGAGTGGATAAAGAAAATGTGGTATATATACACCATGGAATACTACTCAGCCACAAAACAGAATGAAATAATGTCTTTTGCAGCATCTTGGATGGAGACGGAGGCCATTATTCTAAGCAAAGTAACTCAGGAATGGAAAACCAAATATCATATGTTCTCACTTATAAGTGGGAGCTAAGCTATGAGGATGCAAAGGCATGAGAATGACATAATGGACCTGGTGGACTTGAATGGGAAGTCTGGGAGGGGAGTGAGGAATAAAACACTACATACTGGGTACAGTGTACGCTATTTGGGTGATGGGTGCACTAAAATCTCAGAAATCACCACTAAAGAACTTATCCAAGTAACCAAAAACCACCTGTATCCTGAAAACTTTTGAAATTAAAACAATTTTAGAAATTCTCATTGAGAGGCCAGGCGCGGTGGCTCACGCCTGTAATCCCAGCACTTTGGGAGGCCGAGGCGGGCGGATCACGAGGTCAGGAGATCGAGACCATCCTGGCTAACATGGTGAAACCCCGTCTCTACTAGAAAAAAAAAAAGAAAAATTAGCCAGGCATGATGGTGGGCGCCTGTAGTCCCAGCTGCTGGGGAGGCTGAGGCAGAAGAATGGCGTGAACCCAGGAGGCGGAGCTTGCAGTGAGCCGAGATCATGCCACTGCGCTCCAGCCTGGGCAACAGAGCGAGACTCTGTCTCAAAAAAAAAAAAAAAAAATTCTCATTGAGAGATTCTTTTTCTTAAAAATACATTTCATTGTGTATACAGAAGGTATATAACATATTATGGAATATATTGATAGATAGACAGTAAAAAGCTTACTATAGTGAAGCAATAATCCATTTATGCCTGAGGTTGCAATTTTTTGAATTTTTGTAATCAGACCTTGGTGATGACCTTGAGCAGTAGGATATAAATAACTCCCACATGCTTAGCATTCCAATAATGGAACACTAGGCATAAATGGGTTAATGTATCTATTATTTCACATAGTTACTTTTTTTTGTTTCTAAACAAAAAACCTCATTTAGCATGAATTCCAAATACAGTATAATTTTATTACCTATAATTCTCATGTCTACATTAGATCTCTAGATGTATTCATCCTTCAAAGACATGATACAAAGCAGATATATGTTGTATCCTCTGAACTACATCTCCCCATTTCCTCCACCAGACCCTCCCTGATAACCACTGTTTTGTTCTCTATCTCTGTATAGTTGTTGTTTTGTTTTGTTTTTACAGATTCCAGATATAAGTGAGATCACGCAATTTATTTTTTCTGTGTCTGGCTTATTTCCCTTAGCATAAGTCCAGTCTCATCCACGTTTTAACAAATAGCAAGATCTTTTTATTTCTTAGGGCTGAATAATTGTCCTTTGTATTTGTGTACCACAGTGTCTTTATTCATTCGACCAGGGACAGGCATTTAGGTTGTTTCCATATCTTGGCTATTGTGGATAATGCTGCAATGAACATGGGAGTGCAGATGTCTTTACAGGGTGATAATTTCATTTCCTTTGTGTATGCACCCAGAAGAAGGATTGCTGGGCCATACAGTAGTTCTATTTTTAATTTCTTTAGAAACCTCCATGCTGTTTTCCATAGCAGCTGTACCAAATCTGCATTTCCACTAACAGCACACAAGAGTTCTCTTTTCTCCACATCCTAGCCAACAGTTGTTATTTTTGATTTTTTTTTTTTTTTTTGAGATGGAGTCTTGCTCTGTCGCCCAGGCTGGAGTGCAATGGTGTAATCTTGGCTCACTGCAACCTCCACCTCCCAGGTTCAAGTGATTCTCCTGCCTCAGCCTCCCAAGTAGCTAGGACTATAGGCGCACACCACCAAGCCTGGCTAATTTTTGTATTTTTAGCAGAGATGGGGTTTCACCATGTTGGCTAGGCTGGTCTCGAACTCCTGACCTCAAGTGATCCACCCGCCTCGGCCTCCCAAAGTGCTGGGATTACGGGCATGAGCCACCACGCCTGGCCATCCTTTTTTATAATAGCCATCCTAAGGGGTGTGAGGTGATATCTCATAATGGTTTTGATTTAAATTTCTCTGATGATTAATGATGTTGAGCACCTTTCAATATACCTGCTGATCATTGTTATATCTTCTTTGGAGAAAGACACAGGTCTTTTGCTCATTTTTAAATTGAGTTATTTGCTTTTCCACTATTGAGTTGTATAGGTTCTTTATAAATGTTGAATATTAACCCCTTACCAGGTATATGTTTGCAAATATTTTTTCCCAAACCATAGGCTTCTATTTCTTTTTCCTGATTATTTCCTTTGCTGTGCAGAAACTTTTTAGTTTGATTTAGTCCCATTTATTTAGTATTGCTTTTGTTGCCTGAGCTTTTGGTGTGATATCCAAAAAATTATTGCCAAGGACAATGTCCAGGAGCTTTTTCTCTATGTTCTCATGTAGGAGTTTTATAGTTTCTAGTCTTTTATTTAGGTTTTTATCCATTTTTAGTTGATTTTTGTGTATGGTGTAAGATAAGGGTCCAAATCCATTCTTCTGCCTATAGAAATCCAGTTTTCCTAGCATCATCTACTGAAGAGACTAGCCTCTCTCCATTGTGTTCTCTTGGTGTCCTTGTCAAAAGTTATGTGACTGTATATGCTTGGATGTATTTCTGGTCTCTCTAATCTGACTCATTCGTCTATGTGTCTGTTTCTATGCCAGTATATACTGTTTTGATTATTATAGCATTGTAATATAATTTGATAACAGAAAGTATAATGCCTCCAACTTTGTTTTTGCCTCTCACAATTGTTATGGCTATTTGGGGTCTTTTATGGCTCCATATGAATTTTAGGGTTTTGTTTTCTATTTCTGTGAGGAATGCCATTGGGATTTTGATAGGGATTGCTCACTGAGAGATTATGTGTGACCGCATTGACACACTTAAATATTTTTAAGTATTTTAAGTATTTTAAGACGACTTATTTTCTAATTGCCTCAATATTGCTGATTGGCAATTTGTGATATTTGAGCCTTGAGCATAATGGGAACCTGTGCATAATAGGAAAATTAATTTTATTTAATTTCTACCCTAGAATTTTGCTATTTGTCACTTTATTTAATTTAAAAAAATTTTATGGGTACATAGTAGGTATATATATTTATGGGGTACATGGGATATTTTGATACAGGCCTACAATGCATAATAATCACATCAGGGTAAATGGGGTATCCATCATCTCAAGCATTTATCATTTCTTTGTGTTATAAACATTCCAATTATATTCTTTTGGTTATTTTAAAATGAACAATAAATTACTGATAACTGTAATCACCCTGTTGTGCTATCAAACACTAGATCTTATTCATTCTAGCTACATTTTTGTACTCATTACCTATCTTCACTTCCCCTCTTTCCTTATTATCCTTTCCAACATCTAGTGACCATCATTCTACTGTCCATCTCCATGAGTTCAATTGTTTTAATTTTTAGTTCCCACAAATGAATGAGAACATGCAAAGTTTGTCTTTCCATGCCTGGTTTATTTCATTTAACATAATGTCCTCAAGTTCCATCCATGCTGTTGTAAATGACAGGATCTCATTCTTTTTTATGGCTAAATAGTACTACATTTTCTTTATCCATTCATCTGTTGATGGACACTTAGGTTGCTTCCAAATCTTAGTTATTGTGAATACTGCTTCAATAAACATGATAGTACAGATATCTTTGGAATGTACTGATTTCCATTCTTTTGGGTATTTACCTAGCAGTCGGATTGCTGGATCACATGGCAGTTCTATTTTTAGTTTTTTGAGGAACCTCCATACTGTTCTCCATAGTGGCTGTACTCATTTACCTTCCCACCAACGGTGTACAAGGGTTCCTTTTTTTCTACACCCTCACCCCAGCATGTGTTATTGCCTGTCTTTTGGATGAAAGCCATTTTAATTGGGGTGAGATGATATCTCATTGTAATTTTGATTTGCATTTTTCTGGTGATCAGTAATGTTGAGCACCTTTTCATATACCTGTTTGCCATTTGTATGTCTTATTTTGAGAAATGTCTATTCAGATCTTTTGCTCACTTTTAATCAAATTATTGGATTATTTTTTTCCTATAGAGTTGTTTGAGCTCCTCATGTATTCATTCTAGTTATTAATCCTCTGTCAGATGGGTAGTTTGCAGATATTTTCTCCTATTCTTTGAGTTGTCTCTTCACTTTGTTGATTGTATCCTTTGCTGTGCATTTTTAACTTGATGTGATCCCATGTGTCCATTTTTTGCTTTAATTGCCTGTGCTTTGGGGGTATTACTAAAGAAAGTTTTGCCCAGACCAATGTCCTGGAGAGTTTTCCCAATATTTTCTTGTAGTATTTTTATAGTTTGAGGTATTAGATTCAAAACTTTAATCCATTTTGATTTGATTTTTCCGTATGGCAAGAGATGGTGGTCTAGTTTCATTCTTCTGCATATGGATATCCAGTTTTCTCAGCACCATTTATGAAGGGACTGTCCTTTCCCCAATGTGTATTCTTGATACTTTCGTGAAGAATGAATTCACTGTAGATGTATGGATTTATTTCTGTGTTCTCTATTCTGTTCTATTGGTTTATGTGTCTGTTTTTATGCCCGTCCCAGGCTGCTTTGGTTACAATAGCTCTGTAGTATAATTTGAAGTCAGGTAATATGATTTCTCCAGTTTTGTTTCTTTTCCTTGGGATGGCTTTGGCTATTCTGGATCTTTTGTAGTTCCATATAAATGTCAGGATTATTTTTTCTACATATGTAAAGAATGTCATTGGTATTTTGATAGGCATTGCATTGAATCTGTAGATTGCTTTGGGTAGTATGGACATTTTAACAATATTGATTATTCCAATTTATGTACATGGAATATCTTTCCAATTTTCATGTCCTCCTCAATTTCTTGAATCAGTGTTTTATAGTTTCCATCACAGAGATCTTTCATTTCTTTGGTTAGTTCTTAAGTGTCTTATTTTATCTGTAGCTATTGTAAATCAGGTTGCTTTGTTGATTTCTTTTTCAGATTGTTCACTGTTGGCATATATAATAGAAATGCTACTGATTTTTGTATGTTGATTTTTGTATCCTGAAACTTACTGAATTTGTTTATCAGTGCTGATAGTTTTTTGGTGGAGTCTTTAGGTTTTTCCAATTACAAGATCATGTGATCTGCAAATAAGGATCATTTGACTTCTTTCTTTCCAATTTGGATGCCCTTTATTTCTTTGTTTTCTCTGATTGCTCTAGCTAGGACTTCCAGTACTATGCTGAATAAGAAAGGTGAAAGTGGGCATCCTTATCATGTTCTAGATAAAGAAAAGACTTTCAGTTGTTCCTAGCTGTGGGTCTGTTGTATATGAATTTTATTATATTGAAATATGTTCCTTCCTTTTTTTTTTTTTTTTAGACGGAGTTTTGCTCTTGTGTTGCCAAGGCTGGAGTGCAGCGGCATGATCTCGGCTCACAGCAACCTCCACCTCCTGGGTTCAAGCAATTCTCCTGCCTCAGCCTCCAAGTAGCTGGGATTACAGGCATGCACCACCACGCCCGGCTAATTTTGTATTTTTAGTAGAGACAGGGTTTCACCATGTTGACCAGGTTGATCTCCAACTCCTGACCTCAGGTGATCCACCCACCTCAGCCTCCCAAAGTGCTGGGATTACAGGCGTGAGCCACCATGCCCGGCCTTCCTTTTATATCCAGTTTTTTTGAGGATTTTTATCATGAAGAAATGTTGAATTTTATCAAATGCTTTTTCTACATCAATTGAAATGATTGTATGGTTTTTGTCCTTGATTCTGTTGATATAATCTATCACATGGATTGATTTGTGTATGTAGAACCATGCTTGCATCCCTAGGATAAATCCTATTTGGTCTTAATGAATTATCTTTTTAATGTTTTGTTGAATTCGGTTTGCTAACATTTTGTTGAGTATTTTTACATCAAGGTTCATCAGATATATTGGCCTGTAGTTTTCTTTTCTGACATGTCTTTGTCTGGTTTTAGTATCAAGGTAATACTGGCCTCACAGAATGAGTTTGGAAGTACTCCCTTCTCTATTTAGTTTGACTAGAATTGGTATTAGTTCTTCCTTAAGTGTTTAGCAAAATTCAGCAGTGTTGCCATCAAGTGTCAGGCTAATCTTTGCTGGGAGACTTTTTATTATGACTACAATCTTGTTGCTTGTTATTGGTCTATTCACGTTTTGGATTTCTTCATGGTTCAATCTTGGTAGGTTGTATTTGTCCAGGAATATAGTTGCTCAAAGCAGTCTCTAATGATCCTTTGAATTTCTGTGGTATCAGTTGCAATGTCTCCTTTTCCATCTCTAATTTTATCTGTTTGAGTTTTCTCTCTTTTTTCTTAGTCTGGCTAAAGATTTGTTGAGTTTATCTTTTCAAAAAACCAAATTGTTGTTTGTTGATTTCAGTATTTTTAAGTTTCATTTCTATTTATCTCTGCTCTGATCTTTATTATTTCATTTCTTCTGCTAATTTTAAGTTTGGGTTGCTCTTTTCTACTTCTTTAAGGTGCATCATTAGGTTGTTTATTTGAAGTTTTTCCACTTTTTTATGTAGGTGGTTATTGCTATAAATTTTCCTCTTAGTACTGGTTTCACTGTACCCCATAGGTTTTTTTATGTTCTGTTTCCTTTTTTATGTTTCAAGAAAAATTTTAACTTCCTTCTTAATTTCTTCATTGACCCAATATGCTTCTGGTCATTCAGGAGCATATTGTTTAATTTCCTTGTGTTTGTATAGTTTCCAATGTTCCTCTTGTTATTGACTTCTAGTATTAGTCCATTGTGATCAGAGAAAGTACTTGATATAATTTCAATTTTACAAAATTTTAGGAGTTGTTTTGTGGCCTTATTCTCAAGGATATGTTCTATCCTTGAGAATGATCCATGTGCTGAGTAGAAAAATATGTATTCTACAGCCACTGGATAAAATGTTCTGTAGATATCTATTAGGTCCATTTGGTCTACAGTAGGATTAAGTCCAATGTTGCTTTGTTGATTTTCTGTCTGGATGATCTGTCCAATGCTGAAAGTGGGGTGTTGAAGTCTCTGGCTATTATTGTATTGGGGTCTATCTCTCTCTTTAGCTATAATAATGTTTGCTTTATATACCTTTGTGCACTAGTGTTGGGTGTATGTATATTTACAATTGTTATATCTTCTTGCTGAATTGACCCCTTTATCATTATACAATGATTTTGTCTTTTTATAGTTTTTGTCTTGAAATCTATTTTGTCTGATATAAGTATAGCTACTCCTACTCTTTTTTGGTTTCGCATGGAATATTTTTTTCCACCCCTTTATTTTCAGTTTATGTGTGTCTTTATAGGCAAAGTGTGTTTCTTGTAGGCAACAGATTGCCAGGTCTTTTTTTTATTCATTCAGCCACTCTATTTCTTTTCATTGGATAATTTAGTTCATTTACATTCAATATTATTGATAAGTACAGACTTACTCCTGCCATTTTGTTGTTTAATAAAGATTTGCCCAGGCAAACAAAAGCTGAGGGTTTTCATCCACATCAGACTTATCCTACAAGAAATGTTTTGTGGTCTCCTTTCCTTCCTTTCTGTCTTCCTTTTAGTGAAGGTGATTTTCTCTGGTGGTATATTTTAATTTCTTGCTTTTTATTTTTTGTGTATCTGTTGCATGTTTTTTTTTCCAACTCTTGTTTCCATCTTTTTTTTAACTTTTATTTTAAGTTCAGGGGTACAAGTGTAGGTTTGTTACATAGGTAAATTTGTGTCATGGGGTTTGTTGTACAGATTATTTCATCACCCATGTATTAAGCCCATTACCCATTTTTATTTTTCCTGATCCTCTCCCTCCTTCCATCCTTCACCCTCCAAAAGGCCTCAGTGTGTATTGTTCTCCTCTATGTGTCCATGTGTTCTCATCATTTAGCTTCCACTTATAAGTCAGAAAATGCAGTATTTGGTTTTCTGTTTCTGTGTTTCTTTTATGTTTTTTGATTTGGGATTACTACAAGGCTTGCAATGCAAATACTATCTTAGAACCCATTATTTTAACCTGATGAGAGCTTAATACTGATTGCAAAAACAAACTAATAAACAAGCTAAGAGAAAAAGAATAAAAACTCTACACTTTAACTTCCTTCCCCCCTTTGCTTTTTAACTTCTTCTATTTATATCTTATTGTACTCTATATCTTGAAGGGATGTTGTAGCTATTTTTGATCAACTCATCTTTCAGTCTTTCTATTCAAGATATGTGTAGTTTACATACCACAGTTCAGTGTTATAATATTCTGTTTGCTGTGTACTTATATTACCAGTGAGTTTTGCACCTTCACATGATTTATTGTTGTTAACATCCTTTTCTCTCCTACTGAAGAACTCCCTTTAACATTTCTTGTAGGATAAGTCTGATGTGGATGAAAACCCTCAGCTTTTGTTTGCCTGGGAAAATCTTTATTTCTCCTTCATGTTTGAAAGACATTTTTGCTGGATATACTACTCTAGGATACATTTTTTCCTTTGGTACTTTATTTACTTGAGACAGGGTCTCACTGTGTTACTGAGGCTGGAGTGCAGTGGCACAATCACAGTTCATTGCAGCCTTGACCTCCTGGGCTCAGGTGATTCTCCCACCTCAGCCTCTCAAGTTTCTAGGACTACAGGTGTGCACCACCACATCTGGCTAATTTTTGTTTTTTTTGTGGAGTTGGGTTTCACTTTGTTGCCCAGGTTGGTCTCAAACTCTTGGACTCAAGTGATTCACCTGCCTTAGCCTCCCAAAGTGGTGGAATTACAGGCATAAGCCACCATACCTGGCTTCTCAGTACTTTAAATATATCATGCCACTCTGTCCTGGCCTGTAAGTTTCCACTGAGAAGTCTGTTGTCAGATGTATTGGAGCTCATTTGTATGTTATTTGTTTCATTTCCCTTGCTGCTTTTAGGATCCTTTCTTTATCCTTGACCTTTGGGAGTTTGATTATTAAATGCCTTGAGGTAGTCTTATTTAGGTTAAATCTGCTTGGTTTTCTATAACCTTCTCATACTTGATATCTTTCTCTAGGTTTGGAAGGTTCTCCGTTATTAGCCCTTTGAATAAACCTTTTACCCTGATCTTTCTACCTCCTCTTTAAGGCCAATAACTCTTAGATTTGCCCTTTTCAGACCATTTTCTACATCTTGTAGGTGTACTTCATTCTTTCTTATTCTTTTTTCTTTTGTCTCCTCTGATTGTGTATTTTTAAATAGGCTGTCTTTAAACTCACCTAATTCTTTCTCTGCTTGATCAATTTTGCTGTTGAGAGACTCTGATGCATTCTTCAGTATGTCAATTGAATTTCTCGGCTCCAGAATTTGTGCTTAGGTTTTTAAAAATTATTTCAATCTCTTTGTTAAATTTATCTGATAGGATTCTTAATTCTTCCTCTATGTTATCCTGAATTTCACTGAGCTTCCTCAAAACAGCTGTATTTAATTATCTCTCTGAAAGGTCATATATCTCTGTTTCTCCAAGATTGGTCACTGGTGCCTTATTTAGTTTGTTTGGTGAGGTCATGTTTTCCTGGATGGTCTTGATACTTGTTGATGTTTGGGATTTGAAAAGCTATGTATTTATTTTAATCTTCACAGTCTGGGCTTATTTGTACACATCTTTCTTGGGAAGGCTTGCCAAGTATTTAAAGCAAATTGATTGTTGAGAACTAAGTATTTGGTCACTGCAGCCATATTTGTATTAGAGGCCACCCCAAAGCTAGTATGCAGACTTGTAGAGGTATTGCCTTAGTGGTCTTGTGTAAGATAAGAGAGAATTTCCAGGATTATTAGACAGAGATTCTTGTTCTCTTCCCTTACTTTCCCCAGACAAACAGAGTCTCTCTCTCCATGCTGCGCAGGCTGAAGCTGAAGTGACATAAAACTTCATAGTGTGGACGGTGGCCATGACCACTGGATCAGACCTGAAGCCAGCACAGCACTGGGTCTCTCCCTAGGCCTGTGACAATCACTGCCTGGCCATTGCCTATGTTCACTCAAGGCCCAAGGGCTCTTCAGTTAGCAGGTGGTGAGTCCCGCCAGGCTTCTGTCCTTCTCTTCATGGTGGCAAGCTCCCCTCTGGCTTGGGATGGGTCCAGAAATGTCATCCATGAGCCAGGGCCTGGAGTTGGGAACTTTAGGAATCTACATGGTGCTGTATTCTACTGTGGCTGAGCTGGCCCCTAAGCTGCAAGATGAAGTCCTTCTCACTCTTCTTTTTTCTTTTCTCAAGAAGAAGGAATCTCTCCCTGCAGCCACCACAGTTAGAAATCTCCAGAAGCCAGCATGACACTGGGTCTCACTGGAGGCACATGATGAGACTTGTGTGGGTACCACTGATGTTTATTCAAGGACCAAGGGCTCTTTAGTCAGCAGGTGATGAATCCTGCTTGGAGGGCCCTTTCCTTCAAGTCAGTGGGTTGTCTTTTGGCCCAGAGTGTGTCTAGAAGTGCCATCTGGGAGCTAGTGCCTGGAATGGGAGCCTCAGGACTTTTCCTGGTGCCCTCTTCCACTGCAGCTGAGCTGGTACCCAAGTTGCAAGACAAAGTCCTATCTACTCTCCCTTCTCCTCTCCTCAAGCAGAAAGAAGGAGTACCTCTTAAAGCTGTGAGCTGTGCTGCCTATGGTTGGAGGAGGAGTGATGTAAACACTCCCTTAGTCACCCCAGCTGGTGTCTCACTAGGTCACATGCACCCCAAGTCCACTGGTTCTGAGCCCACCACAGCACCAGGACCTGCCCAGGAATTACAATCCTTGTGACCTAGACTGCCTTTCAAAGATATTTAAGACCTCAGAGCACTTTAGCCTGTGGTGGTGGGGCTAGCTGGAACTCAAGTTCTGACCACTGGGATGGACAATTCCCATCTGGCTAGAATTGGTCAAAATGCTCCCTCCATGTGTGCTGACTGAATTCTTCCCTGTGTTGCTTTCCACTGTGATAGGCAGCACTGAGTTCCAATGGAAAGTCCCACAATCCCGGCACTCTCCTTTCCCCAAGCACACAGATTCACCGTCCACACTATGAAGCTGCTACCTGGGGATGGGAGAGGGGTGGCATCTATAATTCAAGACTGTCTTTCCTACCCCCTTAAGTGCCTCTTTCCTTATATGCTGTTAAACCCAGGTACTGTGATTGCTCACTTGATTTTTGGTTCTTATGAAGGTACTTTCTTATGTGGATAGCTGTTCACTTTGGTATTCCTGCAGGGAAGATGATCACTGGAGGCTTCCATTCAGCCATCTTGCTCCACCTCTATTTGTTACTTTCAATATATGTGGTTTGTATCATTTAACTTTTCTCCTTAAGGATACTCCTTTGAAGTTATTCTTGTTAATTTGCCCCCATTTGTTTGTAGCCATATATCCACGTA
This sequence comes from Homo sapiens, assembly GCF_000001405.40. Taxonomy (NCBI): domain Eukaryota; kingdom Metazoa; phylum Chordata; class Mammalia; order Primates; family Hominidae; genus Homo; species Homo sapiens. The sequence continues at coordinate 88,569,671 of NC_000004.12, forward strand.
CCCATGAAAGTCACTATGTGTGCCCTGAACCTTGATCCTCAGCCCTCCAGGTCATGCATATCAGCTTTCCCTTCCCTAAGGATTTGGCTGGGAGGATTTCCGTGTATGCAAGCCAGGCAGCCTCCCCAGCGCTCCAGGTTGCCTGTTCTTTGGAAATGGCCAGCTCCTGCTCACATAGGGCTGCACATGCATCTAGGAGTATGTGGTGAAGTGAGAGGTGGAAGTTCCCTTTGGTTTCTCTATCGGTTGTCGTGGTGCTGCCTAATTTAATTCCAAGTGGGTGGGAACAAGTCTGTGTCCAGTGCAGTGCCCACTTCCTCTTATTTTTGTTTTTTAGCATTTTAGTCTCCACACCACACCTTTCCAGGGTGGCAGATAGGTAGGAGAAAGGAAGCAAAGACAAGGACTGAGCAGGTGTGGTTGAGAACCATGATGGCTTGTTTCATTTTTCTTCAAGTCATTGGCATTCCTAAAATTCCTAAAAATTCCTTCAAGTCATTGGCATGCATAGTATGAGGAGTGGATATAGAAGTAATTAGTTTCAGGTTTCAAATTATTCAAAGTGGGATGGTATACAGTTGTTTTCATTTTTCTCAATAAAAAATAAGAAACATAAATTCTGAAAAACAACCCTGACAAGTGTGGATTTGAGAGAAGTGTTCATGAACTTGTGAAAGAAAAAATAATTTTCTCAGTGATGAAACAATCTTAGTCAGAGGTTTACTATCTTATACAAATGTTTCAAAAATGCAATGACAACTTTATTACATTAAAAAATCAATTAAAAAATATAGTGCACTCTCCTATCTGTCCTGCCTTCCCCTGTTTTTGTTTCAATGATCCCAAAATCAGATTGTGGTTAATTGTTTCATCCACTGAACACATTTATTGAGTATCTCTTGTCTCCCAGGAAGTGGGTACACAGTAGTGATTAGTCCAGATATGGCTCCTACCTTCATGGAGTTTAGCTGATGTTAGTTAATATTTTATTGTATATTCACTTTGTGCCAGACATTTAATGGCATCATCTTATTTAATTCTCACATCAACCTTGCGAGTTACGTACTATTATTATTCCTATTTTATTTTATTTTTATTTATTTATTTATTTATTTATTTTGAGACTGAGTCTCACTCTGTCACCCAGGCTTGAGTGCACTGCAAGCTCCGCCTCCCGGGTTCACGCCATTCTCCTGCCTCAGCCTCCTGAGTAGCTGGGACTACAGGCGCCCACCACCACCCCCAGCTAATTTTTTTTTGTATTTTTTTAGTAGAGATGGGGTTTCACCAGGTTAGCCAGGATGGTCTCCATCTCCTGACCTTGTGATCCACCTGCCTCAGCCTCCCAAAATGCTGGGATTACAGGTGTGAGCCACCGTGCCCGGCCTCCTATTTTACTTTTTTAGAGATGGGGTCTCACTGTGTTGTTCAGGCTGGAGTGCAGTGGTCAGTCCCAGGTGCCATCGTAGTGCACTACAACTCTGAGCTTCTAGGTTCAAGTGATCCTCCTGCCTCAGTCTCTCAAGTGGCTGAGACTACAGGTGTATGTGCCAAGGCACCTGGCTCATCCCTAGTTTAGAGATGAGAAAAATGATCCTTAGGGAAATTAAGTATCATAACTAGTAAACAAGTCATCTGTGGGAATAAACAGATAATATACAAATTAGTAATGGGAATGTCCCTATAGGTAAGTGGGATGATATAAGTTTTAGGGCAATGGTAACCTTTTTAGACTTTGAATATCCATGGCCCTAAACTAAGTAGCAAAAGAAGAAACTAGTCTTGGTTTGAAAATATATTCAAAGGTTTCTTCTGAACTCTCATTCACTCTTTCTTTTTTCCCCCAGATCCTGGAAGGACAGATTTGGTATGCAAACTAGACAGCCCAGGTGCAAAGTCTTAGGTATATCTATTCATAGTCTTTACACATGCATGTGTTTAATATCCTTATAGCTGGAACCCCATTATTCCTGATAGGCCTTTGACGTCCTTAGGCTTGTGAGATTTGTTGGTCCAAAAATCTGCCATCCTTACCAATTGCCATTTGGGAGTCTCCAAACAACCTATATTTGTGGTATAATCTGACTCCAGTTTGAATATTGTTTATAAGTATTTTGTCTGTATACAAACAGTTATCATCTGAGACTACTTTACTCCGTCTCAATCAAATGAAAAAAACATGGCAAGTCTGTGAGTTGGTGTTATGGGCTGAACTGTGTCCCCTAAAATTCATATGTTGCAGTCTTAATCCCGGTGCCTCAGAATGTGACTATATTTGGAGAGGGGGTCTTCCAAGAGGTAATTAAGTTAAAGTAAGGTCATCAGAGTGGGCCCTAATCCAATATGACTGATGTCTTTATAAGATAAGGAAATTAGGACACAGACATGCATGGAAGGAAGACCAAGTGAAGTCACAGGGAGAAGAGGGCCACATACAAGCCAAGCAGAGAGGTCTCAGAAGAAACCAACCTTGCTGGGCACAGTGGCTCATGGCTGTTATCCCAACACTTTGGGAGGCCAAGGCGGGAAGATCACTTGAGGCCAGGAGTTGAAGACCAGCCCAGACAACACAGTGAGATCTCATCTCCAAAAAAGTGTATTCTTTTAATTAGCCAGGTGTGGTGGCACCCACCTGTAGTCCCAGCTACTTGGGCAGCTGAGGCAGGAGGATCGTTTGAGCCCAGGAGTTTCAGGCTGCAGTGAGCTGTGACCATCACTGCACTCCAGCCTGGGTGACAGAGCAAAACCCTGCCTCAAAAAAACAAAAAACAAAAACAAAACATGTATATGGCCTTAGGCCATCTTCTAACCAAAAATCAATTTATCAATATGTAAAATTGATATAATTGCAGTCTTTTGGCCGAGTGTGGTGGCTCACACCTGTAGTCCCAGCACTTTGGGAGGCCAAGGTGGGTGTATCACGAGGTCAGGAGATTGAGACCATCCTGGCCAACATGGTGAAAACCCGTCTCTACTAAAATATAAAAAATTAGCCAGGTGTGGTGGCATGCACCTGTAGTCCCAGCTACTTGGGAGACTGAGGCAAGGGAATTGCTTGAACTCAGGAGGCGGAGGTTGCAGCAAGCCAAGATTGTACCACTGCACTCCAGCCTGGCAATAGAGCAAGACTGTCTCAAAAAAAAAAAAATAATAATAATAATAATTACAGTCTTTTCTTTCATGAAGCCTATAATTAAAGTTATATAAATGGGGAAAACTTAATCATAAACTGAAAATTCATAAATTCTTTAAAAATTGGTTAACAGATTCTCTTATCTGAAAAGTTATATTTTGGAGATATTTCTCCCTTGTGTGTCAGATACAGAAACTATGGAGCAAAACAATACAAGGAGAAAAAGAACAGGAAAAGTATTCACTGGATTTTAATTAAAATGTCATTTGTTAAGTGTTGCACTTCTCTAGAGTGAAAGGCATGTATATGTTATAAAAACTAATTAAGACTGCTTTTTGTTCAGAAAGAGAAACAGCTGGGTTTTAACATCTGAATGTATTCAAGATCAGTGTTCACTGAGAAAAAGAAAATCCATAGCCATTTGGAGAAGAAAACAAAAATTTACCTTACTCATCAGTCATTAAAAAACATTCTTTGGGTGCACATGGGACATAAAGCTCATCAGGTTTAGAATCCAGCCACTATTCCAGTCATTATATAGCCCAATCTCTTGATCAGATGACATTTTAACTGAACATTTAAAATCTGAAATTAGAAATATGCACAACATAACCATTTATTTACACTGCTACGAGTCAGTGTCACTAGGGACCCATGAAGCATGGACTGTTTGCCTACTTTGACTTCTGGAATTCTGGGATAGATGATAGGATGGTGACCTAAACAGTTCAGAGCTTCCCTTCACCCTGTCATCTGTGCATTGGTTTGAAACATAATGCTAAATTTCTCTGAGAATGAATCTTAGAAAAGGCAAATCTTCACTACAGATTCATTGACGGTCCCAAAGGAGATTCCCATGCCTTAATCTGCCCTCTCCAAAACAAGCCAGCAGAAAGAGTAAAAAGAAAGATAATGATTTAAAACAGCACCTGGCTCACAGCCCTGACAGCCTTTCCTAGCTGTCAGTGAAAAGACCTGTGATGGTCCAGAAAATGTGAAAATGTCACATTCCTCCTCCAAAAATGGTAAGATTTGTCAGTCTGTTGCTAGGATCTAAAAAGCATTTCCATCATTCTTAAAGCAACAAAACACAACTGAAAAATAAATACACCCAAATTTTACTGTCAGAAATGGAATGATCCTTCCTAATTGAAAGTAGAACTAAAACCCTTCTTTCTCCCTCTCTGCCATGCCTGAAATGTGCAGGCACTATTTTCTGAGGCAGCCAGATCACAGGTTTCCCTATCCCCATCTTCCTCTACCTCCTCCGCCCCCAGAATCAATCTATAGCCATTTGAAAACTGCAGCTCCCTGAAAGCAACTAGGCAGAATCTAGGAAGAATTAAACTGGCCCACTGCATCCTGGGATATAAAAATCCCACCACATTCCTAACTCCAGAGGGAGTGATACGAAGAAGGGACAAGGATAGGGGAAGTCCTGTGGCAGTGCACAGAGGTTGCAGCTTTATGCACATTCCATCTTTTCAAAGTATTAGGGATCTGGAAAGTAAAGGAAGGAAAATACAATGTCCTATCTAATGTCTTGTAATGCCAGATTATTGTAATATTACAATTTCTACTTAAAGTTAGTTAATAGTTATTATTTTTAATTGTGGTAAAATACATGCAACATAAAATTTACCATCTTAACCATTTTAAAGTGTACAGTTCAATGGTATTAAGTACATTCATATTGTTGTGCAACCATCACCACCATCCATCTCCAGAATCTTTCACCTGCAAAATGGAAGCTCTGTGCTCATTAAACAACCACTCTCCATTTCCTCTTCCTCCAGGCCCTGACAATCATTCTGCTGTCTTTATAAACTTGACTGCTTTAGGTACGTTATAGTAGTGGAATCATACAATATTTATCTTTTTGTGACTTTTATTTCACTTTAGCATAATGTCCTCAAGGTTCATCCATGTGGTAGCGTGTGTCTGATACTACCTTTCGAAGGCCGAATATTCCATTGTATGCATACACCACCTTTCATTTATCCATTCAACCGCTGATAGACCCAAGTTACTTCTACCTTTTGGCTACTGTGAATAATGCTGCTGTGAACATGAGTCTACAAAGATCTCTTTGAGACCTTGCTTTCAGTTCTTTTGGGTAAATACCCAGGAGTAGAATGGCTGGGTCATATGGAATTAATAATTATATTTAATACTTTCAGAATATTAAAAAAACTTTGCATGGCTTTATAGACTGTTTATTTTAAAACTCATGTAGACAGAGATACAGCTTCAGCTCTGGATATATTTAACTGAGTCTGAGGTCTCCTTTATCAAATCTGATTTTCAATGATAGTGCCAATTTTTGAAAAGCCTTTATTGGAATAGTAAAGATACTAAATGCCAATTACCTATTGAAAAGTATCTTTTGGCAGAACACCAGTGAATATACACTTCTGTATCCTCCTCTATAGGATTTTTTCTTTTCACATAATGATATCCATATTCTAGTAGAGCTGGGATATACAAATAGCATGTTAATGTGATTATGCTAAAAACCGTGTTCCCTAAGAGTTTAAAAGCTGAATACTGATTTGGTCTCTGTGTCATTCTAGAGCTCCTCCTCAGCCTGTCAAAGCTGACAAGCATCAACAGCTGACACAGAGATGATGTCACTTGCTCTCTTTTGCTCCCCCATCTAAAATAGAAGTCAGTGGTACAAGGCTGCAGTGCTTTTAAGAGTCAACTCTCTACAACAATAGAATTTAAGAGCTTCAGCAATAACAAAGAGCCATTATCTATAGTGAAGTTCTTGGGACTTTTCCTTCCTGAAGTACCTTGTACAGCATCAGACATTTTTACATTAGACATTCAGTAAAAACATCATTTGCTTTATAGAATGTTCATATTTGTAGAAGATATTAACTTATCACTATCAATTGATGCATGAATTTGAAATGGGAATCTTAGAACTTTATTCCACGTTCATTTAATATTTCATTTCAATTAACCAAATCCTCTATTGTTGTAAGAACTGAGTGGTTAGGATGTTACAGAACTGCCATCAAACCCGGTTCAATTTGTATCCATTAATTCAACAAATACTGCCTATTTTCTTAGGCAGTATGCTAGGTGCTGCGTAGATGGTGGTAAGCAAAATTAAACATAGATACTCCCTCAAGGACCTTATACTTTTAGAGGATGACCTTTATTTCTATTCTAACTTGTTCCTTCCTCAATCGTTTTGACCTTAATAAAGGACAGCACTATCTTAACCAGCTGCTCAAGCCAGCAATCTAGGACTTTTCTTTGATTTTCCCACTCCCAACCCTCTATTCCTAGCTGTTTTCTCTTCTACCTTCAAATTAGCTCTTGACTCAATCTACTTCTCTTCATCTCTACAGCCATCATCTGAACCCAAGCTACTGCCATTCTAGCCCAGATTACTTCAATATCCTCCATAACCTCCTGGTTGGCCTTTATAATTCTACTACCACTCCCCTTCCACCCTTGCCGTCTTTCCAGGTGCCAGTGATCTGTATAAAACCTTCCAGTGGCTTCTCATTGAATGTCCAATAAAATCAAGGTCCCCAGAAGGGTCTGCATGATATGTCTCTGCCCTTTTCTCTAAATTTACCTCCTGCCACCCCTTCTGCCCACTCTGCTCCAGCCATGCTGACAATCCTGCAATCCTTTCAGTGCCTTGACATGACAAGCTCTTTCCAGCCTCAGAACTTTCACACATGCTGTTCACTCTCCCAGGGATGCTCTTCTCCCACCTGGCAACTCTTCACATCCTTAAGGTTTTGACTTAAATGTTTTCTCTTAAGGGAAGAATTCGCAGAAAATGCTGGATAGGTCTCCCCATTAATGTGTGCGTGTGTGTGTGTTGGGGTGGGGAGGTGGTAGTGGTTACCTAATCAAGGCCTCTGCTATTTTTTTGGATCATTTCTTCAAATTTATTTTAAAATGCTCTTAGTACAGATATTTTCCCACTTGGATGTTGCCTTTTAACGTTTTTATAGAGTTTAATTTTCTGCTTTAAGTTTCATATAATAAAGCCTATCAATCCTTTCCATTTTCTTTCATGGTACCACGCTTACAGACTCCTTCCCCTCCACAAAATTTTGTACTTCCTCAGTTTTTTTCTGAAACTTTTGTCGTTATTTCTCAAATTTATCTGGAATTTATTTTGCTATATGGTGTAAGGGAGGAATTTATCTTTTTTCCCTCCAATTTTTGGCCATGGCAATTTCTTCTCTCCTCTAAGGAGGAGGAGCTGCTGCTATAGATTGGTAGAGTTAAAGGACACTATTGAGGCCATGCTTTGAGTAGAGTCTTGTGGAAGGGGTATACAACTGTAGTGGACATTAAAATAGCAAGATCTAAGTTGTGGATTTGAGCTATGGGGCAGATGTAGAGAAAATAGGCCTCTGTTTTGGTTCAAGGTCCTTTAGACTAATGAAGTTTAGGCAAAGGTACTTCTTACCCAAGTTCCAAACAAGTACCCTAAAGTTCCACACTGAGGTTTGGCATTAAAGCCTCATCTAATAGCAAGTTTTTTATTTGCTTAATCCTCTGTGCATGTATTTTCCTTGTGGACCTTAAGGGGAGAAGTTACTTACATAGATCAGGGACTTAGCTATTTCTGGCCAAAACCCATATTGACTACAATTTCACATTTTCAACCTTAATTATACATTTGTCTTTAAAAGCACATTTTATTATATTACCTTCAACCAAATGAATATTTATATAAGTGCCACATATATATTTGACTAAACTGTTTTTTGCATTAGAACAAAAGATATCTTATACTATGTATATATGTGTGTATGTGTGTGTATATATATATAATAGGTTTGTAATACCAAAGGTAGTTGCCAATAATAGCTACTGAATAGTGGTTGACTTAATTTATATTTAGCAATTAGTGGAAAAATTTGCTTTTCTGTCTCCATAAACAGATTTACTTTATAAACTGGCACCATAGAATGGTGATATCAAATGACAGTACTGTTTGATGAAACAATTCAAAAGGTAAGAAAGGGTTATTTCTTGGTCAAATTAGTTTCTGGCCCTATTCACAGAATTGTACTATGAGTGAACTTTAGAGCTTCAAATGACTTTAGAGATCATTAAATACAATCTCTTCATTTTTCAGATTATCAATCATGGGTAAAGGAGGTGATGTGACAGGCAGATTCTGTAACACTAGAAGATTCATTCCTTCAGCCAATATTTGATGAAGCCCAGCTGTTTGCCAAGCATTGTCTTTAGGTGTTTCCACAATGAATTAAGCATGAATCTCTCTACACAGTTAACAGGAGTGTAAACAGTTTAAGAGAAAAGAAGGAATTCACATATATAACAAGAATGAGAAACAGAAATGTCAAGGACCATATCAATGTTGTGAAAATAATATCAGATTGTCCCTTTACATTATCATAATTATCATCACCACAACAATAGTGAGAAAAAATGTATCTATTGAGCCTCCAATGTATATGGCATAATGTATAAGAAGTAGTTGTAACTGGCTGAGCATGGTTGCTCATGCCTTTAATTCCGGCACTTTGGGAGGACGAGGCGGGTAGATCACTTGAGGTCAGGAGTTCAGGACCAGCCTGGCCAACATGGTGAAACCCCATCTCTACTAAAAATACAAAAATTAGCTGGGTGTGGAGGGGGGCGCCTGTAGTCCCAGCTACTCGGGAGGCTGAGGCAGGAGAATTGCTTGAACCCGGGGGGTGGAGGTTGCAGTGAGCTAAGATCATGCCACTGCACTCCAGCCTGAGCAACAGAGTGAAACTCCATCATAAAAAAAAAAAAAAGAAATAGTCAGAATCTTCAAGGAATTTTTAATAGCACAAAGGATTTAGGTCATATATTAAAGAAGGCAAATAAGAAGAAAAAGGAGGAGGAGGTAACACTACATGCTAAGTATCTTAAATGCTTTGTTATCTCTTTGAACCCTCATCATAATCCTATAATTAGGGCATAAATATCATCAGTTTTATAGACAAGAAAACAGAGGCATGGGAAACGGAAATGACTTGTCTAAGATCATATAGTGGGAAAGAGGTGGAGACAGGATCTAGACCCAGTAGCATGTGATAAATGCTAGAGGCATCACCCCTACAAAAAATGCTGTAGGAAGTAAAAGAAAGTAGAAACATTGTGACTGGGAACTGTTGAGATGAAGTCATGGAAGAGGTGGGACTTATGTAAACTTTAGCATAATGGCAGAATTTTGGAGGCAAGAAGCGGGTATGATCTGAACAAATAATTGGTTTATGTAGGTTGTGGGACAGTGTGGAGATTAGTTTGTTAAGAGTGGGCTGGGCGCAGTGGCTCATGCCTATAATCCCAGCACTTTGGGAGGCCAAGATGGGTGGATCCCTGAGGTCAGGAGTTCGAGACCAGCTTGGCCAACGTGGTGAAACCCTGTCTCTACTAAAAAAAAAAAAAATATATATATATATATATATGAAAGTTAGCCAGGTGTGGTGGCACATGCCTGTAATCCCAGCTACTTAGGAGGCTGAGGCAGAAGAATCACTTGAGCCTGGGAGGCGGAAGTTGCAGTGGGCCGAGATGGCGTCACTGCAATCCAGCCTGGGCGATAGAGTGAGATTCCATCTGAAAAAACAAACAAACAAACAAACAAACAAAAGAGTGACCAATGCCAGCCTAAAGTAAACTAGGTTCAGGGCCTTGGAATGGGTATGGGGAATAGGATGAAGAACTAAGTTTTAATGAATATTTGTTATTGGTATGTAGAATGGATGGGGAATTGGGAGAGAGGCTGGGGTCAGGAAAACCAGTTTAGGAAATGTTGAACTAGTTCAGTGGTACAGATAAGGACCAGAAGTAGGGTTGAGGAAGAGGTGATATTATAGAGTACAGTGGGCTGAATAATCTATCCCCCTCTGCCAAGATATCTATGTCCTAATCCCCAGAACCTGTGCATATGTTTTTTTAAATGCAAATATGATTAAAGATGTTGAGATAAGGAGACTATCTTGGATGAACATGGTTAACCCAATGTAATCACCAGGGTCTTTACATGAAAGAATCAGGAGAGTCGAAGTTAGGAGAAGGTGATATAAAGCCATGAACTGTTAAATATGGCAGACTTCTAAAAGCTGGAAAAGGCAAGGAGTGGATTATCTCCTGGAGTCTCCAGAGGGAAGCCAGCCTTGTCAATATGTTGATGTTAGCCCGATAAGACTCATTTCAGACTTCTAGCCTCCAGAATCTGTAAAATAATAAATTTTGTGTTGTTTTAGGCCACTAAGTTTGGAGTCATTTGTTACAGCAGCAATAGGAAACCAATAAATAGAGGAAGGGATGGATGTGAAAGACATTATAAATAAAAAACGACAGTGTTTGATGATTGGACGAAAGGAGAAGAGTGAAGGATCCAGGTAATTTCAAGATTCTGAACCTGGATTATGAAGGCAACGAAAGTGGAATTAGTCCAGGTGCAGTGGATCATGCCTGTAATCCCAGGACTTTGGGAGGCTGAGGTGGGTGCATCGCTTGAGGTCAGGAGTTCAAGACCAGCCTGGCCAACAGGATGAAACCCTGTTTCTACTAAAAATACAAAAATTAGCCAGGTGTGGTGGTGGGCACCTGTGATCCCCAGCTACTCAGGAGGCTGAGGCAGGAGAATCCAGGAGGCAGAGGTTATAGTGAGCTGAGATCACACCACTGCACTCCAGCCTGGACAAAAGAGGGAGACTGTCTCAATTTAAAAAAAGGAAAAAAAAGGAAGTGGAATTAATTTTCTGGGGGAAAGATGAATTCAATTCTATATACTCTGAATTGAGTTCAAGAGTAGGCACCCAAAATCAAGTTAACCTTATATGAGGGTTTGATTTTGGGTCTTCAGGAAGGAGTCATTAGGTGGTAAATGCTGCTCCCACATAGTACAATGATGCTTACATCCTTTAGTTACAGATGATGTCACTTCAATTATAATTCTCTTCTATGAGAGAATGGCCAAATATTAAGCCTTATTGCATTTGGGTATGAATGAATTTATCAGATTCTTTTATTGAAAGATTTGGTAAGAGGTTGAGGCAGAGGCTCATAATGAGGGAAGAGGAGTGTTATTAGGTCCGTCCCTAAACGCAGAGAATCCATGAATACTCCTAGAATGGTGTTCATAATTGTATGAGTATATGCATCATTTTCTGAAGAAAACATGTATAACTTTCATCAGATTCCTGAAGGGGATAGATGATCAAAAAAGAAAGTTAAGTATGGTGCTGTAATGGCATGGCACATCAGAGGGCAAAGGAGGAAGGGAAGAGGGAAAGAGAAAATAGAAAGGTTAACACATGAAAACTCCCCATTCTTTTGCTGCAGCTTGGTACTGATAATTCCTGCTTCTCTTTTCCCTTACTAGACCCATTTCAGGGATTCTTGTGTTTCTAGAGCCAGCTTGTAAAGAGGCTGCAGAACCTACTGTGTTGAGAGTTATTTTATCTGCTAAAAATATATTCTTTCTATTTATTTACTTATTATTATTATTATTATTTTTTTTTTGAGACGGAGTTTCGCTCTTGTTGCCCAGGCTGGAGTGCAATGGCATGATCTGGGCTCACTGCAACTGCCTCCCAGGTTCAAGTGATTCTCCTGCCTCAGCCTCCTCAGTAGCTGGGATTACAGGTGCCCGCGACCATGCCTGGCTAAATTTTTTTTTTTTGTATTTTTAGTAGAGACAGGGTTTTGCCATGCTTGCCAGGCTGGTCTCGAACTCCTGACCTCAGGTGATCTGCTCACCTTGGCCTCCTAAAGTATTGGGATTACAGGTGTGTGCCAATGTGCCCGGCCCTCTTTCTTTCTATTTTTTAAAAAATAATAGAGACAGGGTCTCAGCATGTTGCCCACACTGGTCTTGAACTCCTGGGCCCAAGTGATCTGCCTGCCTTGGCCTCCCAAAGTGCTGGGATTACAGGCATGAGCCACTGCCCCTGGCCTGAAAATATTTCCTTAAAAGATTTTATTTCAGTGTTTTACAGAATATTTATCTATGTTTTTTATAGAATTTTTCTGAATACAACAAATACTAATATCTTCACAAAATGGATATTAAAATAACTCAATAAATAATATCACTGGTAATCTCTTTTCAAAGACTAGTTGAGACATAAAAAAGGTAGCTTCTAATTAGCAGCAATTATTTCTTATTCAGTGGAATCATCAAGAGTTGCCCACTTGATGTCTAACTGAAATGTTTCTATAGTTAAATTTGATGTCAACCCCGTATACTAAAGACATCCTTCTCAATGCATATTAGATTAAGCATAGCCAAGTTCATTGGATGCTTCAAAGGCTGACCTGGGATCAGAATCTATCCCCTAAGCAATTTATTTAGATAACTGGTTTTCTATTTCTGTATAGACTAAAATGAATAGTTTTCATTTTGTTTTACAGTATAACATTGAAGCTTTAAAAAAAATTTTTTTTAATGTCAAGATTTCCTTTTGATATAGAGAGGAATGGACTAGGTCTGCACTTGATGAGTTTCCTATGGGTATGATTAATTTTCATCGGTCCTCTCCATAGACAATGTTGGGGCTCAGAAAACAATATCCCAAAATATGGTGCTTTGGCATGCTGAGTGCTTCGAACAAAAGAGATTAAAAGGCCTCAGAAATAAATTGCAGAACCAAGGTCTCTCTCTCTCCCTGACCTGCTGTTCCCCATCTTCCCTTCCAATGTGCAGGGATAAGTTTTCTCTGAAGTTCCCATATTTGACTGAGGGAAGTTCTTTTAAAAGAAATGTAACTGTCTTAAACTCCCTCCCTAGGAATTGCATCAAACAACCAGTCAAGATTAGTCACGAGTAAAGATTAAAAGTCATCACCATGCCCAGACAGGATATTCTTATTCTTCTGGAGGCTGCTCTGGAACTTTTTTATTAACCTGAGAGACTTTATTTACATAATAGGCCAACCTTTGTTCGCAGTGCAGTTCTGCCCCTCTCCTTCCTGTAACTTGCTGCCACCTTCCCTAGAGCACAGAGAAACTTTGTCCCAGGCTACTGTCTGTCCTTTGGAACCATTAATTTTACCTAAAAATCATTTACTCTTTCTCTCAAATTGCCTACATCCCCCACTTCCCTCTCTCCTATGAAGAGGGTATTTAAACTTCAACCATCTGGCTCTTCGAGTCTCATATTTTGTGTGCCTCTTGTGCACATGTACACATTAATAAATTTGTATGCCTTCTCCTGTTAATTTGTTTATTGTCAATTTATTTCAGCAGACTCAATTACAGAACTTCCAGAGGGAAAGTTTAAAATTCCTTACAACATGAAGTTTTACCTGAACATTCAGAGTCTTGCTTTATGGTATAAATAATATTTCAATAAGAAAGTAGGCCAGGCATGGTGGCTCGCACCTGTAATCTCAGCACTTGGGGAGGCCGAGGTGGGTGGATCACGAGGTCAGGAGATTGAGATCATCCTGGCCAAAATGGTAAAACCCTGTCTCTACTAAAAATACAAAAATTAGCCAGGCATGGTGGTGGGTGCCTGTAATTCCAGCTACTTGTGAGGCTAAGACAGGAGAATTGCTTGAACCCAGGAGGTGGAGGTTGCAGTGAGCTGAGATCACACCACACCACTGCACTCCAGCCTGGATACAGAGTGAGACTCCTTCTCAAAAAAAAAAAAAGTAAAAAAAATGTAATTATATGTAATTATTTTTCAGCTTCTACTATGATAAATTATGGAGTACCTGCTCTGATGTAATATCAAAGAAAATATAAAGGCTTGTCTTTGAAATGACTAGGACTTCATCAAGGTCAAGGCTTATATAAGTTTAATCTTATAAATCTACATGCTTTCTGTGAAACTGATATGGAGCTATGATTTGACTGATATTCTAACAGAATCACAGGTGGAGAGGGGCGCTTTGTAAAAACAGATTTGGCTAACCTACATTTGCTTGCAAAGGGATTTCAGTGCTTATTGGAAAGCTCTAGCCAGGGAGTACAGCTCCCCACATACCTTGACTAAAAATAGACTTTGTCAGATTGGAAATGTCATTCTTTTTGATTGAGTTGACACTTTGGGAAGAACACACATGGAGCTCTCAGAGGAAGGGAACTCTGGACTAGGAGGATGCCAGAGCAGTCAGTCAATTCTGGCAATTAACCTGGTGACAGATGCCATAGCTACACTACATTGAATCCTATAATTGATGCTTTTTAAAGCATCATAGTTACCTTTTATATTACTTTGCTAGGGCTACTATATTAAAGAATCACAAACTGGGTGGCTTAACACAATAGGAATTTATTATCTCACAATCCTGAAGGCTAGAAGTTTGAAATCAAGGTGTCAGCAATATTGGTTTCTTCTGGAAGCTCTGAGGGAGAATCTGTTCTGTGCCTCTCTTCTTACTTCTGGTGGTGGCTTGGTGTTCTTTGGCTTATAGATGCATTACTCATCTTAACCAATGACATCTGCAACAACCCTATTTCCAAATAAGTGCACATTCTGAGATTCCAGGTAGACATGAATTTGAAGGGAAACTATTTAACTGACTACACATTCTAAGCCATTTACCCTCAGAAACATCAGCACAGTTAATTAGAACACAGCTAACATGGCCCGGGGTGCACGTTCCATTCCAGGTATTGGGCAAGTCATTTAAATTGATTCTATGCTGACAGTTATGTACCTACTGCTACCGTTTGAATGTTGTCCCCTCCAAAGCTCATGTTGAAATTAAATTGCCATTGTAACAGTATTAAGAGGTAGGATCTTAGAGAGGTGATTAGGCCATGAGGGCTTAGTTGTCACAGCGGGGGATTAAGGCCATTTAAAAAGGGTGAGTTTGTGCCTCTTTGCTTTTCTGCTCTTCCACCACATGAGGACACAGAGTTCCTCTCTCTTTACCTTTTGGCCATTTGTTAACACAGCAAGAAGGCTTTTGCCAGATGCCAGCACCTTGATAATGAATTTCCTAGCCTCCAGACTGTGAGCCAGTAAGTTTCTGTTCATTATAAATTACCCCATCTGTGGTATTCTAGTATAGCAGCACAAAATGGACTAAGAGACATATCTTGAAATGTTATCCAGTTAATTCAAGAGGGATCTGGGTGACAACTTGAATGGAATAGCATATTTCACCCATAAAGGTTGTGTCTTTGTGTGTTAAGGCTACTATAACAAAATACCATACATAGACTAGATAGCTTATAAACAGAAATTTATTTCTCATAGTTCTGGAGGGTGAGAAGTTCAAGATCAAGGCACCAGCAGATTTGGTGTTGGGTAAGGACCTTTTGCTGGTTCACAGATGATGACTTCTCACTGTGTCCTCACATGGTGGAAGGGGCTAGCTACCTCTATAGGGTCTCTTTTATGTGGGCACTAATTCTAGTCACAAGGGCTCAACTCTCATGATGTAATCACCTACAAAAGTCCCACACCTCCAAATACCATCACCCTGGGGGTTAGGATTTCAACATATGAATTTAGTGGGGACACAAATATTCAACCACAGCAGGTTACAAAAGTACTCAAAGTACATGTCCATCTTGTAGTTGGTTAGTAGGTGGTTTTCCTATATAAAGCATGGGGCACATTGATGAAGTGACTGATAGTGAAGGTGATTGGACCATGATGGATAATATAAATCACGACACTAAGTTTTCTTTTTGAGAAATGGACAATAAAATGTCTTCTCTGGCTATCATTCTATTGATGATGAGACAAATTTTGATACTTTGCTTTTTTTTTTTTTTTTGCTATGGAACTTGGTGAAATATTGACTCACTTTTATTGGCTTGTGCATGTGTACTAAAGATGAAAATGATGAACAACAATTTGAGTTTGTATAGAACTTCCTTTCTGGAAACTTTATTTTTGGCAGGTATGTGGGAGGGGTGGGGGAAATATATGACACCAAACAAAATTTTGGCAAAGGAACAACAACCCTAATCATAAATTTTTAGGCATTTAGGTGATTTTTGATATGAATATTTAAAAACATGTTAACCTAAGCTAATGTTTAGATGTGTACACATTGCTTTTTACTTAACTAGAAGATTTTAACATTTTTCTTTGTTTGTATTTCACATATATCAGTAATGACTTAAAATGACTTACAAAATTAATAAGAAAGATTTTTTAAAAATTACTGGTAAGGGGGCTAGAGAGAAGCCACTCAGATATCGTGTGTGTGTTTGGCTGGTGCCATCTTTTGTTAGGGAAACTTGGCAAACTACAAAATCTTAAGAGTCTGCATTCTATCTGACTTAGCAATTCCACTTTTAGGAATTTACTTTACTGATATAATCAAGGGTGAGGCCAAATATTTAGATATATTCACTGTGTTTAGCTATGTTGCACAATTGTTTATAGCAGTAAAGAATTGAAAGCAATTTAAACATTCAACAGGGGGAAGTTGGTTAAATGACAGCATATCCGTTTTGCGTATGCCATGCAATTGTTTAAAATGATGTTGCAGAATAGTATATGATTCTATTAAAGATGTTCAATATATGCTGTTAAATTCAGAGATGAATGATAAATATTATGTGTAGAATAAGCCACTTTTTTTTTTTTTCTTTCTTTTTTTTTTTTTTGAGACGGAGTTTCGCTCTTGTTGCCCAGGCTGGAGTGTAATGGCGTGATCTCAGCTCACCGCAACCTCCACCTTCTGGGTTCAAGTGATTCTCCTGCCTCAGCCTCCTGAGTAGCTGGGATTACAGGCATGTGCCACCATGCCCGGCTAATTTTGTATTTTTAGTAGAGATGGGGTTTCTGCCATGTTGGCCAGGCTGGTCTCGAACTCCCAACCTCAGGTGATCCACCCGCCTCCGCCTCCCAAAGTGCTGGGATTATAGGCATGAGCCACCACGCCTGGCCGAATAAGCCACTTTTTAAAATGTATATGTATGCATTGGAAAATGCCAAACTATCAAGAACTAAATGTGGTCAGTGAAAAGGACAGATCATTTCACTTTCTTCTTTTCTCTTATATGTATTTAACACATTTCATATAGCAAATATATTTTATATTTGGGAAGAGAAAAACAAGTTGCTTTTCATTTTTTTAAGTAGGTAAGGAAATGAGTACAATGGGAAAAATGATATAAGAAAGTTAAAATGAACCTTGAGGTTACTTCTAAAAATGCAAGCAATAAGATTCTGTACAGATGGGCCACACATTTTGCTCTAGGCTTTCGAGAGCCAACAGAAAGAGATAAACAGAGTCAATTACAGTATCTATAGTATCTGTGAGAAGAATAATCTGTTAACAACTTAAAAGTAAATACAATGGCAGATTTCACTGGGCTTTTACCTATATGTAGGCTGAAAATAAAATGCTGAAGGTCAACAGAAAGTTAAATACCAGTTTACCTTTATAAAAAGGTGGCCGTAAAGTCTGGAAACACAGACAATGTTATTTTATTTTTTACAGACTTAAGTAAATAATATTATAGTATATATTGATTTTACACATTGAACTCCCTGATTACTTACTTCTTCTGAGGTATGCTAAAGGTACAGGTTTATTCAGGAGAAATCAGAGGGAGAAATCAACTGAGGCAACACATTGCAGCTGATTTTGCTTTTGCTTGGATTGGGAAAAATGTTGTATCAATGCACCATGCTTTGTAACATGAGCATTGTTACAAGGGACAACACAATTCACATACCATGTAATGTCACTGAACATATCATGTAATGTCACTAAACATATTACGTAATAACAACAAACCATTTATTAGGTATATTTGCTGTGTTTACAGATTTTTATGGCCAACCTATAAAGCTGTCTAATATTGTTATAGGTATGCCTTCTTGAAATTCCACAGGTTCACTTTAGCTTTTCTAGGAAATAACAAAATTCCTTAAATTTCCTTTGACCCAGATTTAGTATAACTTCAAAGGAAGGAGATTTTTTTCACATTTATGATTTTATTTTGGTTTTACACAAGTAAATTTTGGAAGACTATGTTTCTTTGCCTCTAGAAGGGTGAGACAGCTGCCTGATTTTTGGCAGTTACATGCATGTATTCTGTGCAGCTACATGATGACAAACGTGATCTTTGCTGCTTTTGCCCAAGCACTTATTTTGCCAGTCCAGTCATAGTGAAATGTGGGATGCCATTTCTAAGAGCACATATTAAGGGACTTTTTAAAAGGAGGAACCTTCACGAAATACTTCACTTCCTAAAGGCTTTATTGGATGAAATCTTCAGAGACCAGCTAATGCTCAACTTAAAGGTTTTCTTAGAAAATGTTCAACCATCCAATCCTGTTATCATTAATACATTTTAATTTATATGAAAACAATGAGTTTCTCATAATTAAGGTAAGATTCTTATGCTTCATCCAAATGGCTTGATAAGAAAAAAATGCAAACAAACCATGAATAGTTTCAAGGAAGATAGAGAAATAATCATAAGGGCTGTAAGCTCTTTGTAGTCAGGAATGATGCTTCTTGTCTAGCAGTACTACAGGTGGAACATATTCAATAATATTAAAAGATTATTTGATGGTAATACTGATTTACCATAATGTTTTTATTCTAAGTTGTTTCATATTAATAAATCAATGCTGTGTGTTACAGGACAGTTTTTAATAAGTTTAGTCTGGGTATAGATAGACTGATTTTTCCATTAAGTACTGACTAGACTGAGAAAGTAAGTACTTCTTTTGGACGTGGGGGACCAAGAAACACCTTTGTCATTACATAACCATACAAGGTACACATACTTTTTACTTGTCAAATAATCAGTCAGTGCTTTTCCCTCCTAAAGATATTTATTCTTCAATGGTGTATCTGAGAGACAGAATGTCCTGGGTAGCCTGTTTTTTTCCACAGATTTCATCCAAGATATCAGAAATCTATCTCTTTCAAAGTTTACCAAGTAAATATTTGTCTGCAAGGCAAGTAAATTAAACAAAGGGAAGAAAGGAAAACAATTATCATTAAACAGTATTACCATTCTATTGAAAAATGGTTTCATTTGAAAATAGATGTATTTTAAGAAGTGAATGGTAACTAATGGAGGAAATCAGCATGTGTTCAGGTAGAAGTGCAGCAGCCCTGGGCACCATCCCCTTGCCACTGGGCATACCTTGTCTAACCAGTGATAGAGCTGAACCACATGGTCCTGTCCCCCTGTCAAAAGTTATGGTTAGTTTAATCCTTGCTCCTCGGGAGGCTAAGGCAGCAGGATTGCTTGAGTCTAGGAGTTTGAAGCCAGCCTGGGCAACATAGCAAGATCCTGTCTCTTAAAAAAAAAGTTATGGTTATATGTGTGTGTGTGTGTGTATGTGCACGCGTGTGTGCGTGTGTGTGTGTGTATTTGGAGTCTCCTCTGTCATCCAGGCTGGAGTGCAGTGGTGCCATCAAAGCTCAATGCAACCTCGAATTCCTATGCTCAAGCTATTCTCTCACCTCAGCCTCCCAAGTAGCTAGGACTAAAGGCGTGCCCCACCATGCCTATTTTTATTTTTTGGAGAGACAGGGACTCACTATGTTGCACAGGCTGGTCTCAAACTCCTGGCCTCAAGCGATGCTCTTGCCTCAGCCTGTAACCCAAAGCCCTGGGATTACAGGGGCATGAGCCTAGAATTTATTAAGCCTTTTATTTTTAACATGAATGTTTTTCTTTTATAAAATTTATACAGGTTAGCAAGTATATATTCCTTGGTACAATTATTTGGTTAATGTTTGTCTCCCCTTTCATGGCAACAAAGACTGTACTGTTTTGCTTACCAATGTATTCACAGGGGCTGACATTATTGTAGGTGCTCAGTATATAGTACGTTTGTTAGAGAATATATGAGAATGCAGAAAGAAATGGATGGAAGACAGGGCTATAGAAATGGAAGGAAAAAGTAAACCATGGCCTCTTCAAAACAGTTTACGTATCTGCTGTTAAGACTATTGCTGATGCTGGAGCCATTTAAAGCCATTTTGAAGCAGGACATGCTTGCTAAGGAAATTGTCATTATATGTTGTCCCAATGAAAAAAAATAAATCGAAGTACTGTGGTATCTTTACTGTTCTATGTAAGTTCTATGTAAGTTCTCAGGGTTTGGCTATTTATTTGGTAAAAGAAGCTTACAGTATCCTAACTTGTTATTTATACATTGCTCCTATCCCATTTCTAGGCTTGAGTCTTTGATAACCATCCTTTTCCTCAAGATGAAATTTCATATGAAAAACACTTGAGCCGGCCGGCACGGAGGCTCACGCCTGTAATCTCAGCACTTTGGGAGGCCGAGGTGGGCAGATGATTTGAGGTCAGGAGTTCTAAACCGGCCTGGCCAACATGGTGAAATCCCGCCTCTACTAAAAGTACAAAAATGAGCCGGGTGTGGTGGTGAGCGCCTGTAATCCCAGCTACTCGGGAGGCTGAGGCAGGAGAATTGCTTGAGCCGGGGAGGTGGATGTTGCAGTGAGCAGAGATCGCGCCACTGCACTCCATCCCAGGCAACTGAGCGAGACTCCTTCTCAAAAAAACAAACTCCGGGCGCGGTGGCTCACGCCTGTAATCCCAGCACTTTGGGAGGCCGAGGTGGGCGGATCACGAGGTCAGGAGATTGAGACCATCCTGGCTAACATGGTGAAACCCCGTCTCTACTGAAAATACAAAAATTAGCCGGGCGTTGTGGTGGGCGCCTGTAGTCCCAGTTACTCAGGAGGCTGCGACAGGAGACTTGCGTGAATCCGGGAGGCGCAGCTTGCAGGGAGCCGAGTTTGCGCCACTGCACTCCAGCCTGGGCGACAGAGCGAGACTCCGTCTCAAAAACAAAAAACAAAAAAACAACAACAAAAAAAGAAAAACACTTGAGCCATGGGCCAGACATATCAACCCAAACACTGATTGATTACAAACCTCATATGTGACACCTAACAATAGGATCTCTCACTTTCTCCTTTGCAAGTACCGGACTCCTTCGTCTTCCTACCAGACTCCTCTTTGGGCATTTAACCAGTTCTTTTGCCAACAGCATCTCTAAATTGGGATTGCATCTTTGTAATAGACTAAACTTTTGTGAAACTGCCACATATCTGGAATATAAGTGAATTGTGTTACTCTTGTCCCCAGTGTTTCTTTTTTCCTTTTTCTTTCTTTTTTTTTTTTTTTTGAGACAACGTTTCATTCTGTTGCCCAGGCTGGAGTAAGTACAGTGGCTTGATTTCAGCTTACTGCAACCTCCGCCTTCCAGGTTCCAGTGATTCTCCTGCCTCAGCCTCCTGAGTAGCTGGGACTACAGGCGCACACCACCCTACTCGGCTAATTTTGGTATTTTTTTTTGTAGAGACAAGGTTTCACCATGTTGGCCAGGCTGGTCTCGAACTGCTGACCTCAAGTGATCCACCGGCTTCGGCCTCCCAAAGTGCCGAGATTACAGGCATGGGCCACCGCGCCTGGCCATCCCCAGTGTTTCTAAACGTGTCAAGTGTGATCCAAATTTCAAAGGTTTGGATTTTTTCTTAGATGACCTGATAACTTAGATTCTGCTTTTTTAGCTTTCTTGTCTCAGTGTACTGGACAATTTGCATTATTTCACGGAGGGCTCAACACTGTCAGTCAGCCAACAACGTCTCATCCCCAGGATACACCACTCCTTGAAACTTTCTTTTCTACTTGGTCAGTCTGTTAGGTTCTCAGGACGAGCGATTGCAGACCTGAGGTGATTTGAATGTCCTTGGTAAGAATCTATCCTCAAAGGGCCTTCCTGCTTCAAATGCCAGGTTATAGAAATTCTTCCACTGGGAGAGTTATTCCTTTGGATTAAAGCAGTACCGTGCCAGTGTTCTGCATTTTACATTTAAGGGGGGCAGACACATGAAGTCACCTTTCTGAGGTTTTCTGCAAAAGATTAGCTGTGGATCAGATCAGGTCTAGGGCAAGTATGAAAGCACTAGTGACCTTGGGGAGGGGGAGGAAGCTCTGGGATTCGGCGCTAGGGAAAAGTGGAAGAGGACAAACTTTTAAAAAATCCGTTACTGGGTATAGGCCACAGAGTGTCTTTCAGATTACAAGATTTTAAGATCTGGTGCTCAGACTCTTCTTGCTATGCTCCCCCCGGGTCCACCCTCCAGCCTCCCCCAGGCCCGCCTTTCTTCCGCAGCCCCGTGCCGGTCTTCGATCCCCACCTCTCCAGAAGAGCGCCGGCGGCTGCCGCGTACCTCCTTCCCCGCCTCTCCCACCGCGCAGCGCCGCGGGCCGGCGCCGCGCTTCCTACAGTCCTACGAAGGGGAGTAAAGCAGAAGACTAGCGCACTCTCCCTCAATTGTCACCCTCCAGCTTTTTCCCCCGTGCCCAAGGCTTTCGGTCACCTCTTCATAAATAATAAAAACCAGAGTCCAGAACCTGAATAGGCAACCGCTGATCGGTCCAGCTCGCTTCCCCGCCAGTGAAAAGCAATCTTATTTCAGCGTCAACGCTCTATGTCTTGCAGTCCGATTTCGGCTGACACACCCGTGCCGCTGTCCCCGCGCCGGGCCCTCGAGTCCTGTCACCTCGGGCAGCCTGCGCCTGGCTCTGGGGCCTGGGCCTCTCCCCTCCTCCTGCCCGCGGACCTTGCCGCCCCGCCTCCAGCCCGTGCCACGGCGGCCGCCATTGGCGCGGGCCCATCCCAGAACGGCGCCCATTGGCCCGGTGCGAAGCCATTCACCCAGCGCATTCCGCCGCCCGCAGGCTTGCGGGGAAACTTCCTTATTATTGTGACGCCGAAAACGGAGAAACCCCGGGTCCGGCGAGAGGGGCTGTGACAGTCGGAGTCCCAAGCTGCGGTTCGGCTGCTGCCGAGGTGCGCAGGGCGGGGGCCGGGGTTCCAGGGAGGGGGGTACGGCGGAGCTGCAGCCGCGCTGGGCCGCGTTCCGCCTGGCACTGCAGTCAGCGCGCGGCTCCCGGAGGGGCGGCTGCGGCTCCTCCCGTGGCTCCGGCGGCGGGGGCTGCAGGCACCTCCAGAGACGACCTGGGTCTGGGGCGCGGGGAGGTTGGGGCGCGGCGCCCTTAGTACCCTGCGTACGCCTCCCTGGCGTTCTCGTGGGCTCGCCCTCCGGTCAGAGAGCCCCGCGCCGGGAAAGGCGAGACAAGCCTTCAAAATGGGAGCGCCTCCCGCCCGCGCTCGGCCGCCCTCCCGCCCTGCCGCCCGGGAGGAATTGCGACGCAGAAAGTCAAAAGGAGGATAGTCCCTATGCTCGCCCCCTGCCCCTATTTAAATTCTGGGGTTCCAGGGACCTCCGTGCAGTGAGGGGCGCGGACGCTTTCAATTGAAATGGGAGCTGGCGAGGCCCTGGCATTTTGGGGAACCTCAGCGGCCGCGAGGAGTTTGCGCCGAGGACGCGGTGCACGGCGTCCGCGATGACAGCGCCGGCAGGGCTGCGGGGCCCGGCACCACCCACTTCGCGGAGGCCGGGCCGGCTCGCCTCTCCCGGGTCCGCCTCCTGGGCGGGGCCGGGGGCGAGGGTGTGTGCGGACACGTGTGTACGGGTGTGTGTGTGTGTGTACGCCGACACGTCGGTGCGGACCGACGCGGGGGTGTCAGGAGCTGGGACGGCCGGGGGCAGGTGAGACTTGAGTCATTTGTGAATGTGTGGAGTGGGCAAACCAGGGCAACCAGACCGAGAGGAGCATGTGTAACCTGAAACAGGTGAGCCTATGGAGACAGTACCTAATGCGACTGTGCACGGAATATGTGTATGCAGCATGAGCTCCAGGGAATAAGTATTTGAACTTTGCTGTTGGTCTGTCACTGTTTCTGGCTGCTTTCTGATTGCATTTTACATCAGCTTTCAAATGAGCTCAATTAGGAAGTACCTAATTCAGAGAAAAGCCTTCCAGGATTTTGCTTGCATTCATCACGCATAGAATGCTTTGGGAAAGACGATTCAAGAGCTCTCTTCCATTTGTATGTGTCTTCTGGCTCTTTCCACAAATAAGAAGCTATTTCTAGAACCTTTTATTTGATGATTAGATAAGATCAAGTGAGCTGATTTTTCAACTCTAGACTTGAGAGAAATGAAAAAATAAAAAGTTTTAAATGCGGTGATCGGGTATCATGTTTTAGTCGGCAGATTACTGTGAAGCTCTCTCCTTTTGTACTTTCCTTTACCCTGGGGGAGGAGGGAGTAGCATTATAAATCAGAAAAGCAAAGTACATGGATTGCATATCCTAAAGCAAAATAATTGAATTACATATTTTACATCATGGTCGTACCGCCTTCGAGGCTAGGAACTTTCTGTAAAAAGTATAATGCAGGGAACAAGGAGGACAGGTTAGAAACCTCTTTGGCAGAACTCCTTTGGCATGAAAAACAAAATTAGCACATTAGCACTAGCATCCAGTTCTTGTTCAGTAAGTAGCTGGAGTTTACTTTTTGAAAAAGAAACAGGGATTTCAGAATGTTCCATGTTGTGTGCTTGAAGCCATTCGTTATAGCATTTCATTCTGAAGACCAAATTTAAATTTCTTAAGATTTGTATGACCAATTAAAAACTTTTTTTATACTTAATGAGAGTAGTAGTACCCCTACTGGAGACACAAGATAGTTATGCTTCAGTTTTATAAGTAAAAGTACTATTCTCCAGATCGAATGGGATTTTCTGCATAGAGAGGTAGAAATAAAGTTATGACAATATCTTTTCTTTCGAGATGGGGGGTCTCGCTCTGTTGCACAGGCTGGAGTGCACTGGTGCGATCTCGGCTCACTGCAACCTCCGCCTCCCAGGCTCAAGCGAATCTGCCACCTTACCCTCCAAAGTAGCTGGGACCACAGGCGTGCACCACCATGCCCAGCTAATTTTTTGTAGTTTTTGGTTTCGCCAAAAGACGAAACGGGGTTTTGCCATGTTGCTCAGGCTGATCTCCAACCCCTGGGCTCAGGCTGTCCACCCGCCTGGGCCTCCTAAAGTGCTTGACAAAAATATCTTAAAATCATGGAGGACTTTTTCTTTTGAGATACTTTAGGTATCTCTCTGAGATGATCTCTTCTCATTTTGCATGATGGAGGATGTGGTAATGAAAAGGGAAAGACCGGGTGCAGTGACTGGCTGGGCGCAGTGGCTCACACCTGTAATCCCAGCACTTTGGGCGGCTTGAGACGGGTGGATCACTTGAGGTCAGGAGTTGGAGACCAGCCTGACCAACATGGTGAAACCCCTTCTCTACTAAAAATAGAAAAATTAGCTGGGCGTGGTGGCGGGCGCCTGTAATTCCAGCTACTTGGGAGGCTGAGGCAGGAGAATCGCTTGAACCTGGGAGGCAGAGGTTGCAGTGAGCCGAGATCGGCCACTGCACTCCAGCCTGGGTGAAAGAGCCAGACTCTGTCTCAAAAAAAAAAAAAAAAAAAAAAAGAAAAGGAATGAAAGGAGACAGTCTTCATAACAGTTGTGGCAAAACAAGCTGCTATGTGTCATACATGGAAAAATAAAGAAAATAGACAAAATTTAATTATTTTCCAAAATTTTCTCTAACAAAAATGGGAGATTTTAAAGTAATTCCATTTTTACTACTCCCTATCAAATGTCAGGAATTTTTATAAGGTGATATCTATATCTCTAGTTCACTTTTAGAGGTGATTGATGTCTTTATAACTGGTTAGAGGTTATCTTACTGGTATTTAACCAAACTCCTGTCTTGAGATACAATGCGTGGGGAATATTCAAGATTGAGTAATTTAAAGATATTCTTATTTTCAGAGGTTAACTCCTGTCTTTTTGTTTACAGTAACATGAAGACACAACAGAGTTCCATACTAATGTTATTTATTATTTCTTTAACTTGCAGAACTGCAAGGTGTGGAATATTTCTGGCTTCTAGTCCAATGCCAAGTGTGTGACCTGTGGTGAGTTACTTAATTTTTCTGGACCTCAGTTTTTCATCTTGTAAATGGAGTCCTTTACATGCATTATCCTGTTTAATACTCTCATCAACTCAAGCTAGGGTAGCTACCTAGAGAGGGACCTAAACAAATCTCAGTGCCTTCCTGCTGCTCTAAGATAGTGAAGAGAACAAGGTGAGCCCAAGAAGTAGGAGACCTGGTTTCTGGTCTCTGCTTCAAGCACTTAATTCTTTTTTTTTTTTTTTTTTTTTTTTTTTGAGAGGGAGTCTGGCTGTCGCCCACGCTGGAGTGCAGTGGCGGGATCTCGGCTCACTGCAGGCTCCGCCCCCCGGGGTTCATGCCATTCTCCTGCCTCAGCCTCCCGAGTAGCTGGGACTACAGGTGCCCACCACCTCGCCCAGCTAATTTTTTGTATTTTTAGTAGAGACGGGGTTTCACTGTGTTAGCCAGGATGGTCTTGATCTCCTGACCTCGTGATCCGCCTGCCTCGGCCTTCCAAAGTGTTAGGATTACAGGCGTGAGCCACCGCGCCTGGCCAAGCACTTAATTCTTAGTGGACCAAAGTTACTTGGCCTCTGAAGGCCTTAGCTGCCATTAAAATGAATTTAGGAATGTAAGTCTTTTGCTTAGAGGTTAGATCAAATGGACTTTTAATAAGGTGGTAAATTTGATAATATAACTCTGTCCCCTTTAGACATTTACTCCATTTAGAAATAGTACTTGTTGGTGGCAGGGACATGTGTTTCTGTGTAAGTGAACTGGTTTTATTATTACTCAGGGTGGGGGATCTTTAACATTATCTGGAAAATAAAAGTGGTTACAAGTTGAGGTGGTGGAAATTCAGGTTTTCTAAGAATGGGGGTCAGTTCACTAGGCATTTATCAAGCCTCTGCTGTGCTCTTGTACTCTGCTGAGAATGGAAGGCACAAAGATGAGTAAAACCTGGTTCCTTCATGGAGAAACTCCCAGTCTGCACGTTGGCAGGGTGTTAGTGGAGGAGGTAGGAGAAGCAGCCATACTGCCTCAACAGCGCTTTGCATTTTTGTTTGTTTTGTGAAGTATTTGTAAGCATAAAATAATGCATGTCATATATGTTAAGAAACAACAATAAAAGGACAGAAGCAGAATATCAGCCATGCTATTGAAATGTCTCCCTTTGTGCTCCTTCCAGATTGTTCCCTCTATTCCTACTGCCTCCACAATCATTACCCGCTATTTTGTGTTTGTGATTTGCTTTTCTTCATAGCTTTGTTACCACTGATGATTCTTAATCTCCAAATAATATATTTGTTATAGTTGTGTTTGAATTTTGTAAAAATGCATCATACTCTGAATTCTTCTGTGACTCAACACTTTTTAAGATTTAGTTACAATGATGCTTATAGATGGAGTTTATTTTTTACTGCTGTACAGTGTTCTGTTTTATGCATGTGCCACACTATCTGTTTTCTTATTGATGGATATTTGTTTTTTGTTTTTTTCCTATTTCAAATAATGCTGGAATGAACATTCTTATACGTGTATCTTGGTGCATATGTTCATGAGTTTCTCACTGCATTGGACTGTAAGATAGCCACTAGTCACCTAGGGCTACTTACATTAAAATTTATTAAAATAAAATATTAACTATTTCAGTTCTTCACTTGTATTAGTCACATTTCAAGTACTCAATAGCCACATATACCTACTGGCTACCATAGTGGACAGTGCAAATATATAGCATTTCCATTATCACAGAAAGTTCCAAGTTTCCAGATTTTACTCATCTTTGTATCTCCATTTATTAGTATAGTACAGGAGCACCATAGATGCTTAATAAGTTGGATAATGCTGGTCATATGCCCAGCAGTGAAATTACTGTGTGGGGAGGTATCCACATCTTCATCTTCACTGGAGAATGCCAACTTGTTTTGCCAAGTGCTTATGCCAGTTTATATTCCCACCAGCTGTCTATGAGGGCCCTGGCTGTTGTATATCCTTGACTTGGTATTGTTAGACTTTTCAATTCTTGCCAGTCTCGTTGGTGTCTTTTGAAGGCAGTCCACAGCTTAAGCAGACTGCAGAGAAGTCATTCTTCCAGCTTCACAAAGCCTAGCACCAGGTAGTGAAGAAGGCACCACCTTAGAGGGGATGATCCGGGGAAGGGTAGGAGTGTTTCCTGTGTTGGCTGAGGGGGTCAGAGGACCAAAGTCCAGCTAAAGTGGAGGAGAGAGAAAACAGCAAGGAGTGGATTCACGTTGTTGAAAACTTCTCTTTGCCTTCTATGACATTTCTGTCTTTGGTAGGAACATTTTTGATAATAAGGCAAGTCATTAAAATGAATCTTCTTTGTTACCAGAGTTAATTCTGCATTTTAGTTTTGGCCCTACATTTATTTAAAGCCTGAATTTGGGGAGTATCTGCAAAGCACTGAAGGTTTTGGACATTGTCTTTTCCTGCTGTTGAAAGAGACCCTCTTCATATATACAACATTCAGGTAATTGCTTCTAAGCTTACTTGAAAGGAAGCTTATCCCTATTTTAAATGAGATTAGAAGTCCTGCCTGAGTGTTATTTTGGTCTCAGTGCCTTTCAAACAAAGGGATAAGAATGAGTTGTTAGGCTGCTGTGTGCATAGTCGCATAGTCTTATCATAAGACAAAGTTTAGGAACTGAAGGTTGTCGTTTAGCATTCAACTCACTAGAGCTAGTAAAAAGAGATTTATCTCCCCACCGCCCTCCACCCATGCCCTCTCCAGAATTTAAAAGCAAATGCACACAAAAAAACTTCCTCCTATCAACCTCAAATCCCTTTCATGAAAGTTATGGCAGATGGTTGTGATGCTACTTTGCTGTAGTGCAGATTTGGCAGAATGCAGCTAGTGCTAATTGCAGTGAGGAAGACAGGAGTCACAATCCCATCCTCTTTTGGGAATTGTCCTGTCTGCTGAAATCTCAAAGAAGAGCACTAGGAGTAGGAGTAACATTGACTAAAGCAGCTGACATTTACTGGTCACTTACTACTACATGCCAGGCACCATGCTAAGCCCTTTTTACATGCATTTTCTCATTAATCCTCACAACACTCTAGCACCTTCTCCTGATTTTGGAGCTTAAGGTGGGTAAACATCTTTCCTCAGGTTTCACAGCTAACGTGGTTAATGTAGGGCTTGGATTTTAGTTCCTTTGACCCTTAAGCTCTGCTAAGATTATCTTGAATCTCTTACCAAGAATAGATGAGAAGGACTCAGGAAAGTGCCAGGTTGACATTGAGAGAAAGTTGTACTTCAAAAGTAGTCCTTCCTTTTGTTTTGTCATGGGGAAATAAGAGGCAGGAAATGCAGCCAAGCGGGGCTGGTGTAGGTGCTGAGGGAAGTGTAGTCCTATATTTTGCAGCGAATTTCATAATTGTGTATTTTGAAGGAAAATAAAAGATTCTGCTCTTCTAGGAGCAAGCAAGAGAGTGAATGAGGAAAAATGGGTGTAAGGACCTTGGAGATCAAAATGCCCAGCGATGCAGACCGTTGCTGAAACTAGACCTTTAAAGTCATGGACATCAGCAGCTACAAGATTTAGGGGTCCAACTGGAGTGTACTTTGAAGTGAAAGCTGTGCTAATGGCTGGCTTCTCTCCAATGTGTTGAACTTCTCTCCTGAAAGCTAGATGATTTTAGTTGCTTTTTTCTTTAGTTCCGGCAGAGCATTGTGATGACCTAGGCCGTATTTATAGTTAGGATTGATAGTTTATTTACAGATACACATCTTTTTTGTGGTTGCTATTTAATTCTCTTGGTGGGCAGTTTTTATTTGACCAATTGAAGATTCCATTACTGTAACTCAGTTGGAAGAATTTTTGAAGTTTTCTTGAACAATAGTCCTTTTTATTATCTTTTTTCATAAATTGTTTTTACTAGTCAGTCAGGGATGAGGCCATACTTCAGGCTGTTTACACAGGATTGTGCTTGGCCAAAGCACCCAGAACTCAGATGACTCTCAAGGACTGACTCGTGCCAGATAAACTACAAAAAAAGCTGATAGACCCAGGACGCCAAATTAATAATGAGAATTAGAAATCCTAATAAGACTGAGATGCTTTGGTTACCTGGTCACAGTATTCTATCCCTGTAGTAGAATCTGCCCTAGAAACCAAGTTATTTAAGGTTGCTTGCTAAGCAAGGCAATTGGTTGGGTGAATTTAGTGACAACTGTTATGGAATCTGATCCACCCATCCACTTTTAGGAAAGAATTACTTAGCGGGTCAGATAGCCAGGTTGACTGATCAGGGTCCCTGTTTTCTCTGGAGAGTGGTGCAGACACATTGGGAAGTCTGGCCTTTTGGTTATCTACTTTCTAAGCTCCTTACTATACAGCACAGCATAGTGTCTCTTTCTTTTCCTTTACTTCATCTTTTTTTTGTTAGTTTCACTTTCTTCATCTGTAAATTAGAGATAATGGCAGTACCTGTCTCATAGAAGATGAAATGAGCCAACATCTGTGAAGCACATAGAAAAGTACCAGACTCAGAGTAAGCTCAAATCAGGTCTTATCTGCTGTTATTATTAATAATGTCATTATTAATATTATCAGTCAGGAGTTTCTTTTTATTGCAAGTGAAAGAAACCTGATTCAAACAAGCATAAATAAATAAGCTTAAGTAAACAAAGAAGGGACTTGTTATACTCTGTATATAGTTAGGTTCTGTAAAGTCATGGTGAATACCATATTAGTGAATACAGAGCCATTGTTTCTGAGGAAATACAGGATTAGGTTCTTGTAGGCTGTGGTCAAGAGATTTTTATCAGCCAGCTGACGCATAACCTTTTTTTATGTGTGTTTCTGTCTAGACAGCCTATTTAATATATATTTCTTACTAATATACACAATATTTCTTGGTAATAAAACACTAGTTGAGAAGGGTTTAACATTTTCTTGACCCTGTGTAATGTGACAGTGTTTTTGGCTTTCAGCCTCACATCAGTGCTATCCACTGTGATTTTTATTTTTTATGGGTTGTCATCTCATGAATCCACAGATTTAATTGCTTTTCCATTGTATCTATAGCTTCATTATGTACTCTGGATATTACTTTAGCTCTCTCCAGGGGAGGCCTCACATACAGATCAGCAGATTTCCTGTTCCATATTTTGGATGTACCCGCTTGTTGATTCATTAACATTGAACTCACAGCCAACACTATAACTCATGCATGAAAGAAACTTACCTAATACACATTTTTTTCTCTGTAAGGCACATCACAACCTTCTTGCACCTAAGAACACTAGAAGGTAGGAGAGATAAGACAAATTTATGAAATACTAAAAACGAAAAAATCCATTAATGTGGATAATAGCAATTGAGCAAGTTGGGAAAAATAAATTATTTCTAGATTATGTGAGCTTGCTGGTCTATTAGTGTATCATTAGACCACCAACCACCACCACCACTACCCTGCCAGTTTTTCATTTTATTTCTACTTCCCTCTCCACAATATTTGTAGTTAATTCAAAGAATAACATTTAATCTTAATACTTTTTTAGTGTAGAGTCTAGACAAGGAATAAAAATCTTGGGAAGAAGCAGAACTTTCTGTGTAAGACAGCAAATTGAGATTCAGTTTTATATTTTATTTTGGGCCTTTTCATGCCTTTCCTGAAAGCCTCAAGAGTTCAAAGCATACCTCAGGATTACAATAAGGCAGTTTTAAAATTGGTATATACCAATTAAGGCCATTGAGTTAAATCCAAAGTACTGTAATTGTTGTCAAGAGAGGTTGAAAGTACGAGCTTCCTCTGTGTTGTAATCTTTAATTTGTAGCCATTTGGGCATGCTTTTATCTTGGGAGAAAAGAGTTTGTCATTTTAAAAGCTGACTTTGCATAGAAGAGCCAATTAGCTGTCTCCTTCATATGTTGACAGTTCTCTCCTGTAGATTGGCTGATATATTCAGCTTTGATGTGTTCGCCTAGTATTATAATTCAAAGTAAGTCTTCACCATTTCT
The DNA here is from genome assembly GCF_000001405.40 of Homo sapiens. NCBI lineage: Eukaryota > Metazoa > Chordata > Mammalia > Primates > Hominidae > Homo > Homo sapiens. Next base: position 88,601,587 of record NC_000004.12, read on the forward strand.
GTTAGAATCCATCCTCTTTTCATTAGGATGAAATGAATGTACCAATGAAAAGATTAGGGAAGACACCTTTGAAGTCTGCAATCTTGTCTTGAAATCCTGATATTTTGACCTGTAGGACCTAGAACAGTGATTCTTAATATGGAGAGACTAGCATGTTTAAGAAGTATGATTAGAAAAGGATATTCAGGGGCCGGGCGCGGTGGCTTACGCCTGTAATCCCAGCACTTTGGGAGGCCGAGGCGGGCGGATCACGAGGTCAGGAGATCGAGACCATCCCGGCTAAAACGGTGAAACCCCGTCTCTACTAAAAATACAAAAAATTAGCCGGGCGTAGTGGCGGGCGCCTGTAGTCCCAGCTACTTGGGAGGCTGAGGCAGGAGAATGGCGTGAACCCGGGAGGCGGAGCTTGCAGTGAGCCGAGATCCCGCCACTGCACTCCAGCCTGGGCGACAGAGCGAGACTCCGTCTCAAAAAAAAAAAAAAAAAAGAAAAGGATATTCAGAATTATAATTAAAATGTATATTTGGAAACCGGCTGGGCTCCGTGGCTCACACCTGTGATCCAAGCACTTTGGGAGGCCAAGGCGGGCTAATTACTTGAGGTCAGGAGTTCAAGACCAGCCTGCCCAACATGGCGAAACCCTGTCTCTACTAAAATACCAAAAAAATAGTGGGGTGTGGTGGCACACGCCTGTAATCCCAGCTACTTGAGAGACTGAGGCAGGAGAATTACTTGAACCTGTGAGGCGTAGGTTGCAGTGAGCTGAGATTGCGCCACTGCACTCCAGCCTGGGAGACAGAGCGAGACTTGGTCTCCAAAAAAAAAAAAAAAAAAAAAAAAGTATGTTTGGAAACTGAAATGTAATCTGAATGTCCTTAAGACCAATCTTCTGCATTGCTTGTTTGTTTTTAAGATGGGTCTCGCTCTATTACCCAGGCTGGAGTGCAGCAGTGCGATCACAGCTCACTGAAACCTTGACCTCCTAGGCTCAAACGATCCTCTCACCCCAGCACCCCAAGTAGCTGGGACTACAGGTGTGTCCTACCACACTTGGCTGATTTTATTTTATTTTTTGTGGAGATAAGGTCTCACTGTGTTGCCCAGGCTGGTCTCAAACTCCTGGGCTTAAGCTGTCCTCTCACCTTGGCCTCCCAAAGTGTTAGGATCACAGGTGTGAGCCACTGTGCCTGGTCACTGTTTTCTTTCATATCCAGATAAAGTGATTCAAACCCAAGGCGATGCTGATTAGAGATTTAGCGTCTTTCTCAAATTTCTAAGAATTTCCGAAGGGAAGAAGAATGTTTAGGTTCTCTTATCATGCCTCATCCAAAACTCTTGCTCAGTTGTCAGTCTTCAGGAGGGGCTCTGAGGGCTTATTTTCAAGGTTCTTTTTATTCATGCTTGGCAAAATACAGTTATTGTAAGGGTGTTGTGTCTTAACTTTGATAGAAGGTTTGGGATTCTCAAAAGTAGTTACAGAACAGGCAACAAGTTCAAACTTGAGTGTTAGACACCACTGTTCTCAAAATTCATCTGCTGTTCTCTGCCACGGAGAATCTACTGTTTACTGGCCAGGTTCCAAACTTGCAGCCATATTACAGGCTTCAATCGCTTTCTCTTTTTTTTTTTTTTTTTTTTGAGGTGGAGTTTTGCTCTTGTTGCCCAGGCTGGAGTGCAGTGGCGCCATCTTGGCTCACTGCAACCTCTGCCTCCTGGGTTCAAGCGATTCTTGTGCCTCAGCCTCCCGAGTAGCTGGGATTATGGGCACCCGCCACCACGCCCCACTAATTTTTGTATTTTTAGTAGAGATGCGGTTTCACCATGTTGGTCAGGCTGGTCTCGAACTCCTTCCTCAGGTGATCCATCTGCCTCAGCCTCCCAAAGTGCTGGGATTACAGGTGTGAGCCACCATGCCCGGCCAATCGCTCTCTCTTAATTTGCTATCTTAAATAGGAGCATCTACTGTTTTATAAGGCATGCTTGGGATTTCCCCCGTCTCCTTTCGTCTCTAAATCTTGGACCTTTCTTTCAAAACCAGAGAGGTGCATGGGGTATTTTCCTTGACAGAAGATCCACCCACTTAAGATTTCCAACTTTATCAATAGTCAGAACTTTTGAAGTTATAATATTTCATTTCTGATCAAAGCATTAGATAAAGCTTCCCCTCTTATGTCTTTGTAAGCAAAAATAATATATTGAAATAATTGATACCTTTCCCATATTAAACTCTAGGGGTTGTTCCCTCCTCCTTTCTGTTGTAGAAAAAATACTTTTGTGCCTATTATGTTGGTAATAACAATTCTCACAATTAAACTCAAGAAAGCCTTGTTGGCTGATGTGGACCTGCAGAGGCAGTAGACATGTAGCAAGAGAAAGGAAATTTAAAGACAATTAAAAAATCTTTACTGAGATATAATTCACATACCATAAAATTTACTTTTTTTTTTTTTTGATACTGAATTTTGCTCTTATTGCCCAAGCTGGAGTGCAATGGCGTGACCTCAGCTCACTGCAACCTCTGCCTCCCGGATTCAAGCGATTCTCCTACCTCAGCCTCCCGAGTAGCTGGATTACAGGCATGCGCCACCGCGCCTGGCTGATTTTGTATTTTTAGTAGAGATGGGGTCTCCCCATGTTGGTCAGGCTGGTGTGGAACTCCCGACCTCAGGTGGTCCGCCCGCCTTGACCTCCCAAAGTGCTGGGATTACAGGCATGAGCCACTACGCCTGGCCTAAAATTTACCTATTTAAAGTATAAAATTTAGGGGTTTTTAGTATATTTACCATGTTTTAAAACCATCACCACAACCTAAATTTAGAACATTTTACCACTTTCCAAAAGGGCAGGTACAGTCACTCTCCATTCTCCTCTTTCCCTCCAGTCCTAGGCAGACACTAGTCTATTTTCTAGTCTATTTTCTATTGCCTGTTCTATACATTTCATGTAAACGGAATCATATAATTTGTGGACTTTTGTGACTGGATTCTTTTACTTAGCATAATATATTTACCGTTCATCCATATTGCAGCCAAATAATATCCCATTGTATAGATATACCATGTTTTATTTAACCATTCATCAGTTGATGGACATTTTGGTTATTTCCTTTCAATATGTATAATGCTGTTGTGAACATTCCTTTATAAGTTTTTGTGTGGACGTAGTCTTGCAGTTCTCTTGGGTTTATAACTAGTAGTGAAATTGCTGGATCACATGGTATCTCTATGTTTAGTCTTTTCAGGAACTGCCAGACATTTTTATAAGCCAATGTAGTATGGTTCTAATAGCCCCACATTATCACCAACACTTGTTGTTACCTGGCCATCATTGTGGTGTGAATTGGTAGCGAGAGATGAGATTTTTTTTTGTTTGTATGAAAGGGAAACATGAATTGTTAAAAGGTAATGAAACTTTAGGCTAGGGTCAGTAATCAGGCAAAAGTTGATTACCTGCTAAATAGAAGAGGTCTGTGTTATACTGTGGTCTCTGTTGAAGGAGATTAAAATCTGTTTGGGGAGTTAAGTTATAAAGATATAAAGAGAAAGCTACCAGTTAGGCAGTATAGTAGACATGTCAGAGGGATGCAGGCTGACTTGTCGCTGCAACAATCCCAGAGTCTCTCAAGTAGGAAGTGAGGCTTGACTCAAATCTGGAACCAAGGGTAAAAGGGAATGGCAGAGAAGATAACATTTTTTTTTTCTATTTCTCATCTTCACTTCAAGTGGTGAAATACTACTAACCAATCTAATATTAGGGTACCTAAAGGAGTTAATTGGTTCAAAATTTTTTAAAACATTAAATAAGCAGAAAATTCAAAGGAATGATGCATTGAGAAAGGATAAGGTGAAGTCTTGAGAGTAATTTCAAAACTGTTACTAACTTAATGGTTTGCCAAGATTGTTTCAGCCCATCTCCTGTACTCAGTATCCTTTAGCAGTGATCTGAAAACCATATTCTGTCTGTTTACTCATTCATTTAAACAAACACAATTTATTTAAACTTCTTTTTTAAACTCTGATTAAAATACAAAATAGCATCATTATAACATAACTGCTTTCAACAGTATTAATATGTTTTATTTTGAGTTGTAAGATATCTGAAGAATATTAAGGGGAGGGTTATTTTTAAAATTGGTTACATTCATTACTTGATTTTCTATGACCTATTTCTTTTTAATTAAAAAATAATTTTTTTAAACTCTCTCCTAGGCTACATGATTCCCTGAAAGATAAGAACAATGTTATGTTGGGGATATTGGTCTCTGGGCCAACCTGGTATCAGCACCAACCTGCAGGGAATTGTGGCTGAGCCCCAGGTGTGTGGGTTCATATCTGACAGAAGTGTCAAGGAAGTGGCCTGTGGGGGAAACCACTCTGTGTTCCTGCTGGAAGATGGGGAAGTTTACACATGTGGTTTGAACACCAAGGGGCAACTGGGCCATGAGAGGGAAGGAAACAAGCCAGGTAAGTGCACCTTATCTGTCTTGATTATTGGTGAGAATGGAAAGTTGGAGGACACAATGGCAGAGGGCCCAGATGGAGCTTTCTCCACCAAGTGTTCGGTTTTCAGGGAGGCTCTTTTGAACGGTGCAGGGATTCCTTCCTGTTTGGAACCCTTGTGTCTAATTCAAGCCTTTTGATGGAAAAGCAGACTTTTCTTTTCTTTTCTTTTTTTTTTTTTTTTGAGATATGGTCTCGCTCCGTCGCCCAGGCTTGAGTGCAGTGGTGAGATCTTGGCTCACTGCAACCTCCACCTCCCAGGTTCAGGCAATTTTCATGCCTCAGCCACCTGACTAGCTGGGATTACAGACATGCGCCACCACAAGACTTTTTATTTTTTATCTTCTTAGAGAACATATGTAATATCAGTTACCTGGGGAGGGGAGGTGACTAGTTAGTTCAGAGTTAGAATAAAATAGATTTTGCCCGTTGTATTAGTCGGTTTTCACACTGCTGATAAGACATACCCAAGACTGGGCAGTTTAGAAAAGAAAGAGGTTTATTGGGTTTACAGTTCCACGTGGCTGGGGAGGCCTCACAATCATGGCAGAAGGTGAAAGGCATGTTTCACATGGCGGCAGACAAGAGAAGAGAGCTTGTGCAGGGAGACTCCCATTTTTAAAACCATCAGATCTCTTAAGACTCATTCACTATTATGAGAACAGCACAGGAAAGACCTGCCCCCATAATTCATTTACCTCCCACTGGATCCCTCCCATAACATGTGGGAATTCAAGATGAGATTTGGGTGGGGACACAGCCAAATCATATCATCCAGTAATTTAATGCTGAGAAATATGACAGTTTTTTGAATAGGTAATCCTCACACAATCACTATCAGAAACTTTACTTCCTGATTACCTATATTCATTCCTTTGTTTCTGCAACATGCTCTTACATGTTTTGTGCTAAGCAATGCGATTGCTGTTATGAGTGGAGGGATGAATGAGATATGGTGATGATGTGGCTGCAGTGATCCTTATGGCAAATGCTGTCATGCAAGTCTGTGTTATGTAAGTTGAAGAGTACACCAGAGGTGTAGGGGAGGGGAGATTGGTTCTGCCTTTGGGTGTTGAGTAGCACTTTGGTGTGTGTGTGTGTGTGTGTGTGTATGCATGTGCACTTGGGTGTATGAATGAATGTGGCAGCATCACTAAGCTTATTGCACACCTGATACCCAGTGATGTGAATATAAAGGTGCAATACTTGTTCAAGGCATGTTGAATAGTGTGGTGAGACTGGGAAGAGAGGGTGATGGAAGAGGATAAGCTGGAAAGGTAGGGGGACTAATTCGTTTCCTTAAATTTCAGTGCTTTTAATTGATTTATAACAGGTGCTACACATATTTTAAGCTTGTTGATTTTATTTTTTTCCACCTATTTTTACATTTTTTTTTGAGACAGGATCTGGCTCTGTCGCCCAGGCTGGAGTGCAGTGGTGCCATCTTGAGTCACCGCAACCTCCGCCTCCCAGGCTGCAGATATCCTCTCAGTCTCAGTCTCCTGAGTAGCTACAACTACAGGCATGTGCCAATACACCTGCTAATTTTTTAATTTTTGTTTTAGTAGAGACGGAGTTTTGCCATGTTGTCCAGGCTGGTCTCAAACTCTTGAGCTCAAGCAATCTGCCTGCCTTGGCCTCCCAAAGTGCTGGCATTACAGGTGCGAACCACTGTTCCTGGCCCTATTTTTACTTTTAAAGAATCTAAGTTTGACTTTCAGTATATGTGTAGCATGGATTTATAAGGTCCTCTTAGTAGTGAGGATGTGTAAATGAATCTTCTTTTGGTGAGAAATTTTAAGGTAGGGTCTTAAATTGTGACCACATATTTGTCACACTAGCATAGGTGTTTGCCCCTTTTTTTGTTACCTGCCATTCTTTTCATTCAATACAGATCATTCCAGACACTGAAGCTTCATTAAAGAATAACCTTACAGTTTTTTCTAGATGATTTTATCATTTTATTTGGCATCAATACGAATTAAATTTTTTCTGTGACACTGTCTCCCTCTTCTCTCACGTTTATTATTCCCTTCCATAGTAAGTGACCATGTTCCGTAGTTTCCCTGCCCAAAATGTCAGTGTAAATTTATAATCGTTAATTTTTATGTTGCCCATTGGAAAGAGGGCTGCAGGGCTTAGGCACAATTGTGAAGGATGTGAAGTGTGGTTGATGAGCTTCCAATTCCTCATTCTTTGCCACCAGGTTCCTTCAGGAAGCCCGCTGTGAGAAATGCACCAGGCCTACTCATCTGGGGGCAGTACCCCATGTTCTAGTCAGGGGTTTCTTAACCTGAGGACCCTGAAATCTTGGGATTTCAAGGAAGGGGTTTGTAGAGTCATCTACAGATGAACACCATTCCATGTACAGTGCACTCAATACTATAGGTTTTCAAATTATTCTGTTGTTTACTAAAATGAAAATTCAGTTGAAAATGCCACTAATTCAGAAATTAGTAAATCCTATTTATTATGTATTTTACCAATTAATAGAATACAAAGGTATCATATACAACTACCATGGAGGTGGCAGGAAGAAGATTGACTTTTTCAAATGGTCTTCATACTGGAACAGATTAAAAACCAAGTCTTCTTTCTTTTCCTCCTGTTAAAACTCACTTGTGTCTCACATTAAGCTCCTAAATGTGCCCTCTGTTTCCCTAGGCCAGAGCCAGTGTCTAACAAGTAATGCATTTGGAGGGTCATGGCCCAACAGTCTACATTCAGCCAGGATTTAGGAACTTCATTCCAATGATCTTTGAAGGACTTGTACAACTCTAGCCAGCCTTTGAAGGGAGTATTTTGGGAACTGGGAAGAGATCTTTCTAGTCCTCCCATGGAGACAGCAAGGTTATGGTGAAGTTTGGAATCAGATAAAACTAATGGAGGCATTACATCTCTAATCTAAAATGAGGATTATAGTCTAGGTGTGGTGGCACACACCTGTAATCCCATCACTTTGGGAGGCCAAGGCCAGAGGATTGCTTGCCAAGGAGTTGGGGACCAGCCTGGGCAACATACAGATGCAAAAAAAAAAAAAAAAAAAAATTAGCTGGGCATGGTGGTGTGTACCTGTTGTTCCTGCTACTTGGGAGGTTGAGGTTGGAAGGTCACTTGAGCCCTGGAGATCAAAACTGTGGTGAGCTGTGATTGCATCATTGCACTCCAGCCTGGGCAACAGAGCAAGACTCTGTCTCAAAACAAAACAAACAACAACAACAAAAAACCCCAAAATAAATAAATAAATAAAAATGGGGATTATAATACTCTTTCATAGGTAGAGTAATCTGTGTAAATATTGAATGCAGTGTCTGGCAGTTTTATATCATGCCTCAGAAATTATGCTACCGTGCAGTTTCACCATCCCGTGTAAAGGCTGATACTGTCTCTGGAGTTACAGGGAAAGAAGCCTAAGCTGGGAGTTTGAGAACTGGGATCTAGTTTTTTATCTACCAGGAAATAATTGCCTGTCCCTGGGCAAGTTTCTTCCTATTTCTGAGTCACAGTTCCCTTTCCTGTAAAAGGAGTAGACTTCCTGTTCTAATCAGATAGTTCTTGGTGAAGGGGATTCACATGATAAAGAAGACACCACAAAACTGCTGGTAGTGTTACAGACAGAGAAATATGTTACAGGAAAGGGGTCCCGATCCAGACCCCAAGAGAGGGTTCTTGGCTCTCTCAAGAAAGAATTCAGGGCAAGTCCGTGGTACAAAATGAAAACAAATTTATTAAGAAAGTAAAGGAATGAAAGAATGGCTACTCCATAGACAGAGCCCTGAAGTCTGCTGATTGCATATTTTTATGGTTATTTCTTGATGATATGCTAAACAAGGTGTGGATTATTCATGCCTCCCCTTTTTAGACCATGTAGGGTAACTTCCTGCCGTTGCCATGGCGTTTGTAAACTGTCATGGCGCTGGTGGGAGTGTAGCAGTGAGGACAACCAGAGCTCACTCTCGTGGCCATTTTGGTTTTAGTGGGTTTTGGCTGGCCCCTTTACTGTAACCTGTTTTATCAGCAAAGTCTTTATGACCTGTATTTTTTGTTGACTTCCTGTCTCATCCTGTGACTTAGAATGCCTTACCTGGGCCAGGTGCAGTGGCTCACGCCTGTAATCCCCGCACATTGGGAAGCCGAGCTGGGTGGATAACGAGGTCAGGAGTCCGAGACCAGCCTGACCAACATGGTGAAACCCCATCTGTACTAAAAATACAAAAATTAGCCGGGCATGGTGGCGCGTGCCTGTAATCCCAGTTACTCAGGAGGCTAAGGGAGGAGAATTGCTTGAACCCGGGAGGCAGAGGTTGCAGTGAGCCGAGATCACGCCACTGGCACTCCAGCCTGGGGGACAGAGCGAGACTCCGTCTCAAAAAAAAAAAAAAAAAAGAACGCCTTACCCGTCTGGGAATACAGCCTAGTAGGTTTCAGTCTCATTTTACCCAGCTCTTGTTTAAGATGGAGTTGCTCTGGTTCACACGCCTCTGACGGTAGCCAGTGATGGCCACCCTCTTCCCACCCTCCTTGTCTGTCTTCTCTGTGGCTTGGTCTTCTATCAGGCAGCCTCACTGCAGAGTCAGTTGCTCAGATATGCCTCAGTGCACACCTTGGTCTTGGAACTTGGGGGAGAGGATTCACCCTGGGGTAGCAGCTGGGAAAGGAAGCAAAAACCTCGCAGAACAATGATAGCAAAGATCTGTAGAAGGCATCATAATGAATACATCTGAGTGCAACGAGACATTTCTCTAGCACAGCCTCCTGATGCAGCTCCAAGGAGCTAATGGTAGGTGTTGCTGGGCCTCTGGATGTGAGTGAGCTCTGGCAAAGCAGCCGCACTGCGTCTGTCTGCATACTGGGTCAGCTGGCCCTCAGTCATCCTGCAGACGCCCTCCCCACAGGGCTGAGTGACTGCAAGAATCCCAAGCTAGAGGTGTGCCAAGAAGGCTTTGGGATTCAGCCTCGGAATCCAGCCCATGCTTGTGATCTAAATTTGGAATAAGGCAGGCTGTAGTGTAAATTACAAGAGATTCCAGAAATTTCTGTTGTTGGTTAAGCTTGTCTGTTAATTATAAACTCCATAGCAGCTTGGAATAATGCCTCTTTGAATGGAAAGATTATGTGGGTGGGTGCCTCCCTCTCTCCATTTAACTTTTTCGTTGGTAGGTGTGTTCTAAATCTGGATATGATTTGCGTTTGTTTTTAATGAGTGGGAAGAAGAGAATGAACTTGTTTTCTGTGTTTGCTTATTGAGAACCATGACCTGGAGAGCTGCTAGACATGGAAGGGAAGTCTGTGGCAGGCCTAGTTTGTTACAGGTATCTGTTGGTCTTGGCCCACAGGAATGCTACCCCCAAGTAGCTTCTGTGGTATTTGGGAAGGGAACATGATGGAAGGCCCCTTCCTTAAAAGAGGATTTTTCTGGGGGTTATGGGCAGGTCTGTGATTTCAGCTTGGTATCATTGCCCAGATTGGTTGACTTTGAAATATGAAGGATTTTAAAAAGTGAGTGTATGACTGTTCCTCTAAGGCTTTGAGAGTGTGAAGAAGTGAGTTGAAGGAGTTAATTCCATGGTGGCCAACTCCAAGTGGCTTACAGAGTTTTGAACCCAAGTGGCAAACTTAAGTTTCTTTTTCTTGCTTTGCAGTACTGGCTGTGAATGGAGTAATGCCTGACCATCAACACTTACTTTGCTGATTGGACTTGTTAATATTTCTAGTCCTAGCAGGGTGTCCACCAGCATGGGTATGGTCATCTAGCACTAGTCTGGAGGAGAATTTATTTCATTGCCTTGAAACTTTGTTTCCTGTTAAAATGCAAACAACCCTGGGAGCCACATAATCTGACCTTCCTGAGGGGAAGGAAAGTTGAAAGAAGGTACTGGTGTAGGAGATGCACCTGGACAAGTCTTCTAATGTGTGCCTTGATTCTGTCCTGCTAGTCATCATATACCATGTTATACACTCTGTCTCTAACTGGTTCAGCTGCAAGGCACATCAATTCATTTTTTTGGGATGCATTCTGTAGATGTGCCAGAGCAGTGATATAAAGCACCTCTCAGTGATTCTAAGGGTTTTGGAGATCCTTTTTTTCCTTCTTAAGAATATGTAACAGTTAACTATTGCTGTTGCTGACCCTGAGACTACTGTGGTTTCTTTGTACTCTCATTTCTGTACTTCTCACATTAGCAATACCCTTATGTGACCAACTGTGTGTGTGTGTGTGTGTGTGTGTGTGTGTGTGTGTGGTAAGAAGGAGGCATTTCAAAGATACATCAAATTCTGAAACTCCTGGTTATTCAGGCCCCAGATATTTTCCCAGTGTGTCAGGCAGCACACAGAGTTCTAGCTTAGGTGTGTCCATGACTCATTTGTGATTTGGCCAAGGGCATAGAGGCCTGTGATTCCCAGAAGCATTTTTCAGATGTAGTATATTAAGCCCCATCTAAACTCAATTTCCAGCTTTAAAAAAAAGTATTGGATTATAAGTCTTTTGCACATTCCTCTCTCACATGACTTTTCTCTCCTTCATTCTCACCTTTGCATTCAGACATATACCTCATCCCTCCCCGACAAAGCAGACAGAGTTTTTGTGATTGGAGTCATCATAGGGTTATTACTAATTTCCTTATGGTTTTTGTCCATGAATTTATTTTATAATTTTCTAAGACATAAAGTTACAGAGCTGGCATTTTAGGAAGTCTTGTGTGCCTTCCCCACTTTTTTTTTAATAAAGCAAGCAAACAAAACATAAGCTTTTTTTTCCTGAATGTTATTTTTTATAAGTGACTAAGTGGACATTAAGTAAATCTTGAGCTCTTTTATTAAACTAGAGACTGGTTGTCCATAGAAAGGATTCAATAAATACCTTAATTTACCATGCCTCTCATATTCCTACCTAGCCACATTGTAAACAGTACTCTTCAGCTAAATGAATAGTTCTCCTTTCCTCATACATACTCTGATTTCTAATATTGGGATTTTAGGGTAAGCTAATCTCTGTGTTATTAGGGATATCTGAACTTACATAAGTGTCTTCTAATCTTTCTCCCTATCTTGAATAGACAAGAACCGTGGTAGGGGCAGTTATTTAGTGTAATCTAATTTGACTCTGCTAAATTTTAAAATTCTCTGTAGACATACCAGGAAATCTTCTTATAGCAGAGCCCAAGGGTAACAATTTATAAGCAAGCTCTAACATTTCTGTGCAACTCTATTTGATTCATCTCTGTGATTGGTTCCTTTTACTTTCTCCTGAGTTAGTTTCCCTCTTGCAGGTAATTTAATCCAATTCACATTCGCACTTTGTATTCAGTCTAAGCATTTCCCTAATGCCCATCACCATATGTAACAGCTTTCCTGCTGTTTGATAAATGAGGTTTATAAAGCAGAACGTCCAAAAGCTTCAATTCCCAAACTGTGCTTGCTTCTAACCATGGTAGAAGTAATGCTTTCAACCAGCTTCTCAGGTTGCTCTCGGGCATCTGAAGGGCGCAATAACTCTGTCATGTTAATCAGCTCTTGCTGAAAAGCAAACCAGCTGAGCTGAAAGGAAATAGAAGGGACCCTGTAATGACTTCCTGTTATTGAAGTGCGTGTTTCTATGGGCATAACGCTGATATAAAAGGCAGAATGTGCCATAGGAAGTGTTCAGATCTCAACATTGCACTTGTTAGGGCCCCATCTGTTCCTTATTAGGAATGGCAGGTGGTTCAGGAGGCTGTGCACCCCTTTCTGATTTTGGTGATAATGGTTATAATCAAAACTAGTAGGATGTCTTGCCTCCTTTGATAGCTAGGTAGATGACTTTCTGGTTCAGAGGTCTAAGGATCAGGAGAAACTGTCATTTAATAATTTTATTGTGGGATAATTGATCGGAATTTTTTTTCTGTCTGATACTCAGCCTACATTCTATAAAGATACTTGAGTGTTTTAGAAAATGTGTACTTATTAATGAGCATACTTGTTAGTGTGAGGTATTTGTGACTTTTAAAAACCTGCAGTATTACTTTTAAGTAATTAACAAAATGGTTTGCTTCGTGAAACAAGAATTTTAGTTAATTTGTTAATTATAAAAGTGGTTAATGATACATATATAAGCTCTCTTTATTTCTGATATGCTTAGCATTTTTAAGCTGATTAATCCTCATGATAGCTTTGTAAAGTAGGTCAGTATTATTATCCAAGGTATATGTAAAGGAGGAAAGAAAAGGGAGTTGAGTTTGAGTCTTGCTTAGGTACTGACAGTTTGGGTTTAATAATCCTAGAATTTTGTTCACAGACATTTTTGTAACCTCAGGCTGATTGAGAATGGCTGATAAGATTTTATTGTCAAACTTGTTTACATTTAATTTCCACTCAGTACTTATTAAAGAAACAAAAAAGATATAAACTTGCCCACCCAGAAGCTTGTATTCCTTAATTTATTGTTTAAATACAAATATGATCAAGGTACTTTGGTAAAAGGTACTAAGAAACAATTCCCTTTTTATCTTGAAACCCATTAGACTACTGTTTGTCAGCTGCCTTTTTAAGCTCTTTTGAGCACCAAATAAAAAGCACACATGATAATTCATATTTCAGGCTGATGTATTTTGTCTTGCTATTTGCCTCTTGTTCTTTGTTTTTTTATTTTCTTGAATTATTTACTTCTTATTCAGTCACTGATTCAGCAGACATTTACTGAGTGACTAAACTTCTAGATTCCTCATTTGTTTTAAATACTCTTACAACACAACAAATTAGTGCAGATCCCACCCTTTGGGCATTTATAGACCAGGTGAGAATATAAGATATACCCAAAAAGGTTATATCCTGCAGTTCAGCAGGTGTCAAACAGGTGATACAGGTCCTATGTGTGTCAAAATAAGTGTCCTGCAGTGAAGAGATAGGTCACCAACAGTACTGAATTCTGAATTCTAACAAATGTCATCTTCTATACCTACACACATTATAAGGTTCACATTTATCTTAAGTTTGTGAGCTTGTTGGAGGAGCGAATTGTAACATTTTGGAGAAGGGGCAGCTTTGGAGATGGTTTCAGGATTCTAGGGATGTTCAGCGATTTTTGTAAATCCACCCTTTAATTCTGAATTTTTGTGTTACAATAGCAATTTTTTAGTTTGGCAATTTTGATGATTTCATCTAGGTTGGTGATCTATGATCTTTATAGATCTGGGGTAGGTAGAATGTTGTAGTTTATCAGCCTGAATGGGGTATATCTGGTCAGCTGATATTTTACATCTCTTCAAGGGCTACTGGAATTCTTTGTATGTCTTTTTGAGTGAATGCCATTTGTGATAGCATGTAATGTTGAAATCTTTGATAACCCTCTAACAGATGTATGGTCTCATATCCTTGTAGACTTTCCATCATTTTTTCACTTATTATTAAAATATGCATTGAAATTTCTATTATAATTATTAACTGACTTGCAACAACTGAAATCATGATTGTGAATAATTTTAATTTAGAGTATTAGCTAATTATGGAGGCAGTATAATGAATAAGAGCATGGACTAGCTGTGTGACTTGGAGAAAGTTGCTTAAACTCTACATGTCTTAGTTTCCTTAGTTGTAAATGTAGATAATAATGTCTACTTATTAGGGTTGTGAAGATTTAATACATTGCCTATCAGATACTTGGAATAATGCTTGGCTTATAGTAAACACTCAATTAGTACTAGCTATTATTATTTATTCTTATTTTTAATTTGAAAAAATAATTGCTGATCTCTATTTCATTCCAATTTTAGTGTATATGCTGCCAAAGCAAGTACTAGCTATTATCATTATTTGTAGTAGCAGTAGTAGTAATTTGTGTTGACACTTTTCATTACAATTGTTTTTATCCTGCTATTCCAGCATATTAACAAATTAATACATTCATGACAAATACATACAGTTTCTAGATGTATACAAACATATACATCTATAAATTGTGTTGGTCACTTTTATAGATTCCCTTAATACTACAGGATCTGATGAATGATATGGACATTCAGCTGAGGAAGATGTTATAAGTTAGGGTTGTTAAGGGAGAGTTTATATTATGTTCATTTTTATTTTAGGTTTTAAAGGATAAGTCTATTTTCTTTATTGTTAATTTTTGCAGTTCTTTACTTTATTGTTCTCATGAAAAGTACCTTACATATGTTGGGTACACTGTAAAACTGATTATCCACATATGGACATGCATACATACATCTTCTCTCTATGCAATTGTTACCATTACTTCCAGCATTCTCATCCAAAATGGCAAAGATAAGGGAATCAAATTAGGTCGCTGTGGGCACTGTGGTACACCAGGGACTACTTTATGGTGCTCCTGAAAGTCTTGTAGTGGTTTGGCACCAGTTAGCTGGGTAGTATGATCTTGTCATAGGCTTAGTAAATAGAGTGCAATCCACTGGCTCCTAGCCCAGCTGAAATCTTTGGGCAGTTACTGTAGACTTCCAGTTAGCTGTGATGGGGGTGAATCTTTGGATGGAGAGATAAATGACCTGAAAGAATGCAAGTGATTTTCCTTTCTGCATCCTTCAGTTGCCTAAGAAGAGCTCACTCTGGAGTCTAAACCTACATGATCTCTGTTTTTGTTTGTTTGTTTGTTTGTTTGTTTTAGTGGTAATGTATTAGTCGCTATGCTTGCAGTTTCAAGTAACAACAGAATGCTAAGCTGTGTCATGAACAATGAGTAAAATTTATCATCTCACATGAGAAGAGGTATTTCTAGGATAGGCTAAGTCAGTAGCACAGTTGCCTCATGTGTTTCCCATCTTTCTGTTCTGGAGTGGAATTTTGTAGTGATGCAGAGATTTATTCTTCCTGCCAAATCTCTAGCCTACTAGTGTGGGTGTAAGATTTTTCTGGGCCTCATTTAAAGCCTGCATATATTCCCCAAGTGCTTTACCAGCCAGGGTCAGCCTTGCCACTATGCCATGTTTTTTTGGGCGCCAGAATTGGCTTGTTATGTTGAAAGTATTATTTTCTCTCATGATATTTTTCTCCTTTAGTACGCTTCACTATTGAAATGCCTGTAGGCCCAGCTTCCCAGGAGTTTGAGGCCAGCCTGTGCAATATAGTAAGACCCTGTCTCCAAAAAAAAAAAAAAAAAAAAAAAAAAGAAATTGAGAACCTTCTCTGAGGACAAGTCACAACAGCATCTCAGCCTGTTGACTCTTTTTGGGAGTTGTTGGTACTGCTAGGAAGAGGGTTATAAGGTTCTATCTCATTTTCTTCTTTTCAAAGTCATACTAATAAGAGCTTGCAGAGAGCCCTTAACAACAACAACAACAAAAACAAACAAAATCCCCAACATTTTCCACTTCAAATAGATTTGTGATTAGTTTATCACATTAAAGGAGTCTTTAATTTATTGGTTTGGAATTGGCCTCATACTATATGAACTGTGCTGATCATGATGAAATTAAGTAGATTGTGCTGATTGAAACAGCAAGTTCTACATTCTGCCTATACACAGAGGCTGTTTGGGCACAAAGTCAAAATAGGGAGGCTGGGTGCAGTGGCTCACGCCTGTAAGCCCAGCACTTTGGGAGGCTGAGGCAGGTGGATCATGAGGTCAGGAGATCGAGACCATCCTGGCTAACACGGTGAAACCTCGTCTTTACTAAAGATACAAAAAATTAGCAGGGCGTGGTGGTGGGCACCTGTATTCCCAGCTACTCGGGAGGCTGAGGCAGGAGAATGACGTGAACCTGGGAGGCAGAGCTTGCAGTGAGCCAAGATCGCACCACTGTACTCCAGCCTGGGCGACACAGCGAGACTCCGTCTAAAGGAAAAAAAAAGAAAAAAAAAACAGGGAGTGCAGAAAAGTGGGGACCATTATGCCCTTAGGCAGCAAGTCCCCTGGTTTCCCTCAAGGAAGTGGAGGCAGCAGGCAGGCAGTGAATGCTGGGTCTCCTCCAGGACGAGCTGGAAGCGAGGATGTTGAGAAAAAGCTGGAGAGAAAGGAACGATAGGAAAATGGAGATAACAGTTGTGCTGAACTCACCAGGAGGCACAAATCATGTTCTCCTTTCCCTTCAGATGAGGGAAGAAGGCTGAACTAATTATGGAATGTTTTTATTTTCTTTGAGGTGCTATGTAATAGGGATACATTAAACCAGGTTAGCCATGAATAAGAAACTGGAAGTTTATTGCAATGTCTTTATGAGTGCCAGCCTGTGCTTTATTCATCTTTCTGTTCTTCATGACTCCCTAAGGTAGCTTTTAAAGTAGAAAAGCAATGGGGAATGCCTTTAGTATTTGCAGT